>NT_187531.1:0-138019 GCF_000001405.40 Homo sapiens
TGAGATAGACACAAAGAACTTATTATTCGCAGCAATAGCACTAGGCAGAATATCAGCATTTTCCTGTTCCTGTTCCTGGAGTCCTCATTCCCACAGAGTGATACAAATAGGGACAGCTGACTCCTGCGCACACAGCATGATGTATTACAGAAGCAGAACCATGAATTTAGGGAACTCAAGTCTTTGATAATGGGCAGTAAGAAAGTCTGATCCAGAGGAAGATGTTATATTTATTGTACTGGACAGAAAACATTCATGACTTTTGCCTGAAGAGACATTATTTTGATGTTCCAAAGCTGTTTGCTATACAAATATCTTTGCTAAGATGGTCCAAAACAAAGTCAGTTAGTGCCTCCACTAGCAAGACGGAAAGAAACATGAGAAGCCTATGGAGAGTTGTCTTCTAACACTTCTGTTTTTGTGCTAATCCTTGGCCACATCTGACATAGGCATTGGAGAGTAAGTCCCCCAGGGAACAAGGAACAGGGAGCTGGGGAAATGTTTCTTGTTTGTAAAAGGCTTAGGTCCTAAGAATTTTTGTACATACAGTCAAAAACATTTTTAGTTCAGGTACACTGTGTCTTTGGCAGACAGATTCTTCAAAACCTGGCTTCAAAAACTTAGCTTCTTACCCCTTTGATCTTGAATAGTTTAATATGTTCTTATCATATGCATATATCTTTTCCACATATGCCTTTTCTCTGAATTTAGTGTGGATATTCTAAGCTAATCAGTGTGGTGGGAAAGCAATATCCTTAACCTTGGGAAATTTTTTTCTACTGTTAAGATTTCCTCCGAATTTCAAACCATTCAGAGATTTTAACCATGGGTGTCTGAATATAACTTAGATGTTATATTTGCCATTATGCTGAGCTCTAGTTGGCCTCTCTTGCTCAGAACACTTCTCCAACCTATATTTTACTCTTAGTATTGAGAAGTTGCTATGTCCAGCTCTCTAAGCCCCCAAATTCCCGAACTCTTTGTATTCTCACTAATTCCTAATTGCAAATGCGAGATTTGCTTTTTCTTAGAGGAACCATAGCAAATGCAATCAAATAGAAGCCAATATGCTATTGCCATTATTTTTCCAAACTCTAACCCTAAAATCATAATATGTACTATATATATTACCTGCTTTTCAACTCACCGCAAGCAAAAATATTGTCAAATATTTTGCCTCTGTAAAACGTGGATCATCATGTTTTCAGCTCTCCATAACAGTTTTCTTTCTGCTTTCATTCAGTCATATATTTTAGGTTTCTTTTTAAAAAATTATGATGCTACCCTAATTCTACGTACCAGTTTTCATAACATGCTCTGTAACAGTTTCTATAAAAAGTGATCATCGAAATCTTAGTTGTTTAATGCGAAGATTTCTTTCTCGCACGTCATGTATGACTATTGGGTGTTGGTGGGAGTATTTGACTCATAGTAGTCTCTTAGCAACCTAAGCAGACAAATCAGCTACCATTTTGAATGTTGCGGGACACTAATCGAGATGAGGAAAAGAAGTCGGACGGGGGTTGTGTTTGGCACCAGCAATTAAATGCTCTAGCTCAGGGAAGACGTGTTTTTCTTGCACTCATGGCCATAACTAGTCATACACCTCACTCAACCACAAGGGGTCAGCAGGTACAACTGGCCACAAATCTACGTGGTGAGAATTCTGAACTAACTGGTCAGCAAAATTAATAAAAACAAAAACCTCTCCAACTCCCTGTCCCATGTTCCCTAGAAGACTTATTCTCCAGTGCCTACTTCAGAGGTCACCAAGGATGAGGATGAAAACATTAAGATGAAGCATTAGGTGACAATTCTCCATGGGTTTTTCATGTTTTTGTGACAGTAGTTCTCAACTGGGGGCACTTTTATCCCTCAAAAGACATATAGAAATGTGTGAAGACATTTTTGGTTGTCTTCACAATTGGGAGACAACCCAAAATCAGAGAGGGGCTGAGTTTCTGGCACCTAGTGAGTATAGGCCAGGGATGTTACTAAACATCCTGTAAAGCACAGAGCAACACCCTCCCACACATGCCAACAAAAGTTATCCCGTCAAAGATTTTATAGTGCTGAAATGGAACAACTGTATCTTAGAGAAAGTCATCCATTTGTACTGGAATATACACTCAAGAATATTAATAACTTTGTTTTTAATAGATCAATAGTAGAATCAATAAATACAAATACATTTTCAAAATAAACCAAGGTTATATAGAGTAACACAATTGTGGATCACAAACTATTGAGCGAAGAAAGTGAGTTATAAAGGAGTATAATGGCATACTCCATTTATGTATAGTTTGAAAGTAAGCAAAAGTAAAACATTAATTTTAGGGAGACATTGGTAGAAGGGAAATATATAAAATAATTATCATCAAAATTGGGAGATCTCCTGTGAGTGGGGAAGGTGAAAGGTGTGATACAAAGAAGTACAATATAAGTATGGTAGAGGATGCTTCCCAACTTCCAAAAAGTTCTGTATATTCACAAAAAATAATTGCATGCGTATTCACTTCATAATGAGGGAAGACGAAAGGCTGGAGTTTAAATCCAGTATGTCTAGTGACCTGTGCCTCTTTAGAATGACAATCTAAGCCTGAGAACACATGCATTTTGGATAGTGGTTTTGTACCTAATCTGATTAAATATTTAGCTGAATGCTGCTGCTGGAATATCACTGCTTCTGCCACAGATGCCACAGGAAATATGAGGGTATGCATCACACCCAAGGCCTAAGCAGAAAACTTAAACAGAGAATGAAAAATAAGATAGAGGTCTGGGAATGAACAGAGAAAAGCTAACGTGCAAGAAGTTAATAACAGGGAGCTTAGGAGTTGATTTGAGGAAAGGCATTATGTGTATCTTTCAAATGGTTCTCTGAATAATTAGGAGCAGGTGGAGAATGTGGCTGCTAAAAGCTCTGCACTCGTGTGTCGTCTATAATCTAGATAACAGAATTCAACACTTGACTAGGCAGTAGAGTGAAAAATATGTGTGTTTGAGGCAAGACAAACCAATACTAGAATATAAGTTCTTCTGCTTTCTAAATATGTGACCTCAGGAAAGTAACTGAATTCCAAAATCTTAATAGTCTCAATAAAAAGTAGGGATAATTACATTTACTTACTAGGGCTTTGTGAGTTAATGTATAAGAAGCCACTGGTATGATGCCTAGCATAAGATAATGGTTCAATAAATAGCAATAGCTGCCATTATTGTTAATAATAGTATTATTGTTGTTATTCAGAGTCATTGTACCTGATATTTACTAATATGTCCTCTGCAAATGTCAGCAAATGCTTTGGATTGACTATTTCACATGACATGCTACATGTTTTATCTTTATTCATTGTTTTTTTTTCCTTCTACACAGTTGTTAAAGCAGGAGGAATAAGAAGGAGATTTCACTATTGTAGAACACACCAGAGACAATCTATTTATACAAGATATATTGATTGATAAAACTTAAAAGTAAGCAAACAAACACTATTATTTAAAAAATAGGCAAAATAGAGCTGGACGTGGTGGTTCACGCCTATAATCGCAGCGCTTTGGGAGGCCGAGGTGGAGGATCACTTAAGCCCAGGAGTTTGAGACCAGCCTGGGAAATATTGGGAGACCCTGTCTCTACAAAAACAATTTTAAAAATAGGAAATAGGCCAGGCACAATGGCTCACTCCTGTAATCCCAGCACTCTGGGAGGCTGAGGTGGGTGGATCATGAGGTCAGGAGTACGAGACCAGGCTGGCCAATATGGTGAAACCCCGTCTCTACTAAAAATACAAAAAAACTAGCTGGGCGTAGTGGTGTGCACTGGTAGCCCCAGCTACCCGGGAGGCTGAGGCAGGAGAATTGCTTGAACCCAGGAGGCAGAGGTTGCAGTGAGCTGAGATCGCACCACTGCACTCCAGCCTGGGTGACAGAGGGAGACTCCATCTCAAAAAAAAAAAAAAAAAAAAAAGGAAGAAAAAAAGAAAAAAAATTTTAAAATGGACAAAATACTTGAATATGAATAACCACTGCACCAAAGAAAATATACAGATGACAAGTAAGCATATGAAACTGTTCAACATCTTATGTCATTAGAGAATTGCAAATTAAAACAATGAGATACCACTATGCACCTATTGGAATGGCCAGAATCCAGAACATTGACAATAGCTAATGCTGGTGAGGATGTGGAGCAACAGGAACTCTCATTTATCGCTGGCAGGAATGCAAAATGGTACAGCCACTTTGGAAGACAGTTTAGTGGTTTTTTACAGAATTAAACTTCCTTTTATCCTGTAATCCAGAAATCATGCTTCTTGATATTTACCCAAATTGATTGAAAACTTAAGTCTACAAAAAATCCTGCACAGCAGATGTTTGTAGCAGCTTTATTCATAATTGCAAAAATTTGGAAGCAACAAAAATGTCTTTCAGTAGGATAATGAATAAATAAACTGTGGTACCTCCAGACAATCATTTGGCACCAAAAAGAAATAAGACATCAAGCCATGAAATGAGATGGAAGAAACAAATTTATATGATGAAAAGAGAGAGATCAAACTTAAAAATCTATAAACTATTAATATATACATTCTAACTCTAAGACCTTCTAGAAAAGAATAAAACTGGGAAGACTCCATCTCAAAAGGAAAAGATCAGTGTTTGCCAAGAGTTAAGGGGATGAATAAGTGAAGCCCAGAGAATTTTTAGGATAGTGAAACTATTTTGTATGAGAATACATTGATAGATACATGTCATTATGCATTTGTCAGACTCCACAAAAAGTATAACACTAAGCATAAACCCAGTGGAAACTCTCAACTTTGCCTGATAATGATGCATCAATATAGGCTCATCAATGGTAACAGACAAGTTACCGTGGTGCAGGATGTCAGTAGTGGGGAAGGTTTTGTGTGTGTGTGTTTGAGAATGAGGGTATATATAAATTCTGAAATTTCCACTTAATTTTACTGTGAACCTGAAACTTCTTTACAAAATAAAGTTTAATAATTTGGAAAAAAGGACTTGAGCTGATTTGAATTAGAAAAAAATGAAAAATTTAAGTTGTGAAAGATTGCTTTCTACGTTGATTAGTTGGATATCTACATTGATTCTCATGGCATGATATATAACATAAACTGTTCTGGTGAAGAGTTGTACAATTAATCACAGGAAAATGAGGCAAACAGAAAGTTAATCTAACATTAATGTTCTCTATTCCATGAAAGCAGGCTGAAGAATGCTGCAAATACTCCATTTCACTTCATTCGTCTTGCTTTTTCACAGAGAGATGTGCGTAATTAAATCCAAGTGTATTTCCAGAAACATGTGACTCAAAAAGACATTCACGTCTTCTCATCTTTCTGATAACTTCGTGAAAAGTTATTGAATGAATTAAGCTAACACCTCACTATAATGACACACATCTATATGAAAGTTGCTGTAGGGCAGCTATGACTAAGTCAGGCTGCTGGGGTTGCCTCTGAGCCAACTTTTGACAGGATTTTTGACTTCTCTTCTCCCCACCCACCTTTTGTTTTTAAATTGTTCAAAATGTGACCATAAAACAAGAAGAAACTACAGTTTGACTTAGTTCCCAAAAAGGAAAACATCCAAAATAGAAGTAGAAAAAGACACCATGGTGCATGTCTGATCTACATCATAGATATAGTCCCATTGATTTGTTGCCTCTCAGTTCCAAGTCACCCCTTCTTTGTCCTATGTTGTAATACTGAAGCTTTACCCTGTAGACATTTCTCCTTTGCAGCTGTCTCAATGTTAGTCTTTGTCAATAGAAAGAGCGGAAGGGACACTGACAGATGAAGGGGTTTCCTGCTTCTAGTGTGCTGTTTTTGAGGACATGACAGCCAGCAAATCACAGGAGAGGTCTGACAATGCTTACTTCAGGACCTTCATAGACTAGCTGTGGTTCTCACCAGGCAGCAAGTGTATCCCACCCAGTAGGCCACACCTCTACGAGATCTCTGCCCTGCTCCCGAAGGCTGGTTTCCTCATCACCTGAAGGCTGGTGTTCTTGTGGCAGCCATACTTTCTCCAAAGAGGTCTGAATTTCAGATGGGTGTAGGCGTTGGGAACAGGCCCCCAAATCTGGCCATAAACTGACCCCAGAACTGGCCATAAACAAAATCTCTGCAGCACTGTGATATGTTTATGAAGGCCATGACACCCACGTTGAAGGTGGTGGGTTTACCAGAATGAGGGCAAGGAACACCTGGCCCACCCAGGGCGGAAAACCGCTTAAGGCATTTCTAAGTCACAAACAATAGCATGAGCTATTGTATATGTTCCTGCTGCAGATAACTAGCCAGAGCCCATCTCTTTGTTTTGGCCCATCACTTTGTTTCCCGTTTTAGTTAATCTATAATCTATAGAAACAATGCTTATCACTGGCTTGCTGTCAGTAAATATGTGGGTAAAACTCTGTTTGTGGCTCTGAGCTCTGAAGGCTGTCAGCCCCCTGATTTCCCACTCCTCACTGTATATTTCTGTGTGTGTATCTTTAATTCCTCTAGTGCTGCTGGGTTAGGGTCTCCACAACCGAGCTGGTCTCAGCAGGTAGGGAGATGTTCTAAGTTCAACCCTTCATTTTGCACTCTCCCTCAGCTCTAGAAATAGTAGCACCCGATTTATGCACTCGCTACTTCTGTGCATCTTAGAATTTTCTTGTTAACTACCTAGTTAACAATTCTGTATGTGAAATTTTCCCTCTTCCAATTCCCAGTATGTTTTATATATACAGATTGGAATCTGACTGATGATTACATATATTATGTATAACTAACATACTAAATGTTCAGCGATAGAAAATCTAAACATGCTGATATGAACCAAATTGCTTTTATTAGCAGAGACTTGGACTAAAACTTGTTCTTCCATAATATTGCTTGGTAATAACGCAACTATTAAACATTTTTTTTTTTTGAGACAGTCTCACTCTGTTGGCCAGGCTGCAGTGCAGTGGTGTGATCTTGGCTCACTGCAACCTCCATCTCTCGGGTTCAAGCAATTCTCCTGCCTCAGTCTCCCGAGTAGCTGGGATTACAGGTGTGCACCACCACGCCCAGCTAATTTTTGTACTTTAGTAAAGACGTAGTTTTGCCATGTTGGCCAGGCTGGTCTCAAACTCCTGGCCTTGAGTGTCTACCCACTTTGGCCTCCCAAAGTGCTGAGATTACAGGTACCCAGCCCTAAAGTGAGCATTTTGCCATCAGTGAAGCTAATAAAAATTTAGTATATCCAAGGTGACTTATTCCATTATTAAAGGTGTGTGTGTGATTGTGTGTTTGTGTTTGTATGCATTTGTAGAATTTGTTTTTTGAAGATAAACCCCTGAGGTAATTTTTGAAACGTTTATGCACTCTGCTATAGTTACGTATATAATTCTGCCTCCTCTATCACTACCATCAGGAAAAAGAAATGATGTTGAATTATTTCAGTCACTATTATACACACATTGTTTTTGTAATTGTCCATTTAATTATATCACTTTTTACTAGAAATAAAATTGCATTGTACTTCACCTATAAAGACAAGCAGTAAGAATTTTAAAATAAATACATGCCTGGTGGATGGAGTAAATTGTAGGACTCAGTACATTTGCTGTTGCTTCTAGATATGCATTTCCCCAAAGTAAAATCAATAAATATTGGTTACAAGGATTTTAATGTATGGGTATAAGTTGTCTGAAAGAAGATACATTTTCACAAAATTTTTGCTTTATTTACCACAGTGAAGAGCACCTATTACCTTCTTGCTAAACAGTTTGTCTCACTTGACATAGCACCATAAAAGGAACATCTTGGAGAAACTTCAAATATTGTGAATTTCTCCTTATTATCTCTTACATACGACTCCGTTCTTTTTTGTCTTCAATTCTAACCCTTGTTTTCTCATTTTACTCCAATTTAAGTCACTTGTTACCTACCTCCTTAATGAATATCCTTGTTACTGTCCTCACTCCTCTGTGTTCAGTGACTAAATAGGAAGACAGTAATATATAATGGATAAAAGCACTTTTCCGGCCGGGCACGGTGGCTCATGCCTTAACCCCAGCACTTAATCCCAGCGGGCAGATCATGAGGTCAGGAGATAGAGACCATCATGGCTAACACGGTGAAACGCTGTCTCAACTAAAAATCCAAAAAATTAGCTGGGCATAGTGGCATGCACCTGTAATCCCAGATACTTGGGAGGCTGAGGCAGGAGAATTGCTTGAACCCACGAGGTGGAGGTTGCAGTGAGCTGAGATCACACCACTGCACTCCAGCCTGGGCAACAAGAGTGAAACTTCATCTCGAAAAAAAAAAAAAGCACTTTTCCACCTTTGTGTTCTGATGTGAGTTTATATCCTGACCACCTCTTTATTAATACACCGTCTTGCTCAGTTCACTTAAATGCTCTAAGTCTTTCTTTAAATAATGATAATAATATGGTCCATGTGGAATTTAAATCTTATAGTTTTATATTAGTCAGCATTCCATCAAGGTAACCCTCTGTAACAAACAACCCCATACTGTCAACAATCATTTATTTATTGGTCACAGTTCTGCAAGTCTTCTGGGACAGCTCTACTTAAGATATGGTTCAGGTTTAGGTCAGTTCCATGTCTTTCACTATGAAACCTGCAGCTACTCAGGCATAATTAGGCATAATCTTATTATTTTGGATGGCTAAAACCCAAGAGGCCATGCTAAACCAAATTTAACTAGACATATTTAAAGTTTTTGTTTATATTACCTTTACTAATATTGCATTGACCAAAACAAGTTTTGTGACTATGCCAAAGCCGGTGGAACAATGATGTGTACTCCACTTATTCCTCAAGGAAGCACTGCCATGAAAAACAGCAAAGTGTGTAGATGAATTAAACCACTGCAGGAAGGAAATGAAGATTTGCAAACTATAGTCCTATGTCCCAAAGCCTTTCTTATTGTTCACAAGCATTTACTTCCCTCTCACATGCAAACTCCTCATCTCAAACAAGACACGTCAAAAGTATCGTCCAGTAACTGCATAATCTCAAGACTCAGATTTCCATGTTTTGCAACATGAATGACTATATGCAGCTTTTCTTTTTTTTGAAAACCTGTGAAGTAAGAAGCCAAGTTGTCTTTCTCCCATACGCGAGGCAAAACAGTTATAAGATTTCTACAAAGACAGTCCCATTTGGAAAGGGGACAAGGTGGTACACAGAAGACTTATTTCTAACAATTCTAAAAATCTCCTGGGAAATGTTAGATCCAGCTACCCAGAGAGTAGGGATATTTCTCCATCAGGCCTCTATTTTGCTCCTTATGAATAGGTCCCAAAGCATTTTCCCCCACAATTCTTGACTCTGCCCTGTAGGACCATTCTTACTATATAATATTATCTTCCATTTCATACATATTGCCTTACGTTGTCCACTTCCACCACTAATCTTGCCGAAAAACAAGTCATCAGGAAGATGCAAACAAACAAGAAACATACAGAATATAACACTTCTCATCTATCCATTTGTCAAAAATAGTTAACATCTGGTGTGGAATTTGCAGAGAAACTTGTCTTTCACTCACACAGTTGATAAAAGTGTAAATTGTTAAGCCACTGGACAGTAATTTGCCAATATCTATTGTGAAAAGTATGCATCCTTTGAATATTTGCTGGAAATTTATCCACTGGATACACTGTCAAAAAATGTCAGGTTATTTATGTGAAGAGTTTATTGCAGCATTTTTTCAATGAAAAAAGTTTAAAAATAATCCAAGTGTTCATTACTATGTCATTGTTTAAATGAAGTATGTTATCTGCATAGAACAGAAATCTCTGTAATTATTGAAGTGAATGAAGGAAATCAGTATTAGTAGATGTTGAGATATGTCTAAGGTATATTTTTACTTGGAAAAGAAAAAGTCACAGACAATGTATAGTGAATAATTTCTTTTATGTAATAAAAATATGGTCAAACACTGATTTGCTCGCACATATTTTTATCCCACTAGAAAGATACAGATGAAAAAGTTAACAAGGTTTGGTTTTGGGGAGAACCACAACTGCGTTTTTTCATAAATTTTAAATTCTTAAAGTTTTTACAATGAGCAAATGATCCTTAAAAACGAGAGAACAAAACTAGAAAAGAAAATTACTATGCCTATAAAGATTTATTTACAATTTTTTTAACAAAAAATATTTCATATGTGCTAAATAAATATACAGATCCTAAGACTTCCTAGGATAGGATAGAGGATGTGAAATGGAATGTAATGGAGAAAGCAGGCTTTGGCCTGGATGCCACATATCAGGTGAAGAGATGGTGATGACCATTTCTATTCTGGGCACTTCTATAAGGAGTTTAGCATGATAATTGGGTGGGTATATCTGTAAGTCAATCCATGAGCTTGTTAATGGAAAAACAAAGCACAGTAAAATATTTAAAGAAGTTTATTCTGACCCAGTATGACAGACCATGGCCTGGGGAACAGTCTCCAGAGGTTTTGAGAAGGTGTGCCTGAGGCAGTCAGCTTACAGTTCGGTTTTATGCATTTTGGGAAACAGAAGTTACAGGCAAAAACACAAATCAATACATGTAAGGTATATGCTGGTTCAGCCTAAAGAGATGTGATATCTTGAAGAGATGGTGTGTTTACAAGTCATAAGTGGATTCAAAGATTTTCTAATTGACAATTGATTGAAAGAGTTAAGCTTTGTCTAAAGACTTGAAATCAGAAGAAAGAAATGCCCAAAGTAACATAAGGGAGGTTGTGAAGACCAGGGTTCTTGTTATGTAAGTGAAGCCTCCAGGCAGGAGGCTTCAGAAAGAATAGACGGTAAATGTCTCTTTTCAGAACTTGAAGACATCAGGCTCTGATTTCATCTCTCCTAGATCCGAGAAAGACCTAGAAAATAAAGTTGGCTGCATTAATGGGATTTTCTACAGGTGCAAATTTCTCACACAAGAGACAATTTTGCAGAATCATTTCAAAACATGTCAAATAAATATATTTTGAGATAAAATATTTTGACTTCCTTCAGGGTCTGCTGTCATGTGATGCTGTACCGGGGTCACACGGGAATTTGGTATAGCATTGCCACAAAGAGTCTGTTCTGTCTTATTGAAGGAGCATCATTTGTCCAGGGAAATACCCAAGGTTCGTTGTCTCACACCAAGGAAATTGAAGACGGAGACACACAGAAATGAGTTTAAGAGGGGAGGTTTAATAGGTGAAAGAAAGAGAAAAAAGAATAGATCTCTTTCCTACAGAGAGAGAGGGGTGCCTGAGTGGGACTTCCAGTCCGTGGTGGAGTGCATGGGGTTTTATAGACTAGCTTGAGGAGGAGGTGTCTGATTTACATAGGGACCAAAGATTGGTTGAACTAGATGTGATATTTACATAGCGTATTAAGAAGCTGGCCACCCCACCCTAATCTTTTTATTATGTGAATGGACTTTATGCTTGGTGGGCGCTATGTTGCCTGCTCCTTACTGCACATGCCGTTAGCCAGGAAAAGGGAAGATGGAGCTGCCATGTTGAACATGCCTAGCCCCAAGGTAGATTTGTCCTATTGGCACAGCTGCCAGCCTTTACCTATGTAAGCTGCCAGCTTGCTTTTCTATGTCTGCAGCTCAATTCTATAGGCTGCTGTTTGTTCGAAAGGAAATGATTTTGGAGTTGCTTTTTTCTTTTTCTTTCTTTCTTTCTTTTTTTTTTTTTTGAGACGGAATTTTGCTCTTGTTGCCCAGGCTGGAGTGCAGTGGGCGATCTCGGCTCACTGCAACCTCTGCCTCCTAGGTTCAAGCAATTCTCCTGCCTCAGCCTCCTGAGTAGCTGGGCTAACAGGCATGCGCCACCATGCCTGGCTAATTTTGTATTTGTAGTAGAGATGGGGTTGTCTCCATGTTGGTCAGGCTGGTCTCGAACTCCCAACCTTAGGTGATCTGCCAGCCTTGGCCTCCCAAAGTGCTGGTATTACAGGTGTGAGCCACCGCGCCTGGGGTTGCTTTTCATTAAAGAAAAATGTTACTGAGGACTTCATTACCCTCACCACCTGCCTAAATAATTTCTTTTTAACTCCTATATTGTGATGATCTCTATTTTAAACTCAGTGTTGGTCAGCTGTGCCGAAACTCCAAAAAAATGAGGGAATATAATGAAGCATGTCTGAACTCCCTTCCCATTATGGCTGGGAATTCAGTTTTTCAGGTTTATTTGGGGTCCCCTTGGCCAAGAGGATGTCCGTCCAGTCATTTGGGGGTCTTAGGATGTTATTTTTGGTTTATAAGCTCAGTTCTCAGCTCTAACATTTACTAGCTGTGTGATCTCGGGCATGGTTGTTCTTGCTTCTGTGTCTCAATTTTCTTATCAGTAAATGTGGTTGATAATAATAATAATACCTACATTCTAGGGGATTTGTGAGAATTAAATAAAACACTACAAAAAAAGCTTTTGGAATAGCGCCTGACAAATAGTAAGCCATAAATAAATGTTATGATATTATTTTAATTAGCAAGATTTAAATAAGGATTAGTTAATGGCAAAAGTAGATTGTCTTTTTAAGACTGCCACTCACATGATAGAGTGATTGAATGAGGCTCCGTAGAACTCTGCTGCATTTCTGATAGTGCTATGGGATACTTCATTTACAGCTCTTTTCTACCCAATGGGCCTTTTTACTTGGAATATCAAGAAAATAATAGCTGATCATCTCTGGCTGATAGGTCAAACTTTTTTCTTTTCTTTCTCATGGAAATTCAATCACAGCACATAATACTTTGGTTTCAAAAGATTTGAAGAAAAATGTTAAGAATTTGGCTACCTAACTACACCCAACAAAAGCTTTTCTCCCTGAATCTTGAGCTCGTTCTCTCTAGATGAATAGATGAATTTACTCATAAGAATCAGTGCATGAAAGCTTTTCTCCTATCTAATCTTAATATCCTTCTGGGAAAATAATTCACTCTTTCCTATACGTTGATGGTACATCATCCTGGCTCCTGTCACCTAAAACTAAGCAAAGACAAGTTCAGTAAAATTACTGCCCCTGTAATCTCTATTTCTCATTTTTCAAGTATGTGATTCAGCAGAATTGTAGACCACACTCTTTGCTTCTACAATCATTGATTTTCTTGGTCAGTCACTTTGCAATGTTCTGCCAAGTGTCATACACAAACTGCTTTATTATATTTACATGAAAATGAAAACTTAAATATATACATGCAGATAAGCAACTTCTTCACAAATCCTCTGTCAAATTGAAAACAAAACAAATCTGGACCTGGTAAGGAGACTTTACACAAATGTATTATTGTGAGGGAGAAAGGGACTATTGTAATAAGGGGAGGGTGCTATTTCTCTGATCATAGATCTGCAAGCATCTCAAACTGTAGGCAAAAAAAATTTTTTTTAATTTTTTTTTCATTTATAGAGAGAAACAAAGCTAGAAAAAGACTGGGTGTGTGTGGAAGAGGGATAAAAGGGAATGTTTTACACTTGGGCTAATCTGTGTTTTGCAAGGGCTTTTAGGGAGAGTTTGCATGCTGGCCTAGGCTGAGGTAGGTGAAAGTTCATGAACCTGGGGCACAAAGTTCGGATAATAAATTGTGGAAATACAGACTAACCAAATGAGAAAAACAAAGGCTATGATAGGCTTGCTATAGCAAAGAAATCAGCCACTGTCATTTCAGAGAGTGAGAGGCAGGCAGAAGAGTGGGAAAGCTTTATACCTAGTGAAAAAAAGAAAGCCTTCAAGTGTACCTTCGTTGAAGGATGTTAGCTTAGGGAAGCTGTGGGAAGGCTCACTAGAAGCTGGGCATCCTATGTGATTGGTTAGGGGTGCACATTTGACTTTCTTTCATTTGTCCTGAGTTGGAACTAGGGACAGTAAATGGGGAGCTGCCAGTTTTTAATCAGGTCCTGGCCATTTTGAGCCAATTGTTACAAAAGTTATTGTATAATTTTCTTGCTTTTCGCTAGAGAAAGCAATCTGGTTTCTTCAAAGTCTGATTTATGGCAGGCTGACTTCCTGGATTATTTGTTGTAGCTAAGGGTTGCTTTCCTAGCTAGGTTAAGGCAGGTTTTGGGACAACATTATATTTTTATATGTGGTCTGTTCATTGTCCATTTGTACAATCATTCTGTCAAAGCGTTTTGTTCTGATAAGTCAGTGGAGACAAAACAATTCGACTAATCATTTATTAGGCAAAAATGGGAATTTGGAGGGTGTGTGTCTAGACATGTCATAGGTAAGTAAGGGGGACATCTGTGAATCTTATCTATTAATAACTTATATGGGGCAGAGTGGTTCTTTGCAGCAAATGAGATTCTATAGCACATAAGTGTTGGAGAGATTTCTTAATCTTTGCTGTTTTCCAGGATCACAGGGCAGAGATAAATTTCAACATTGTCACCTCTGATCATGATTTACACAATTATATGTAGATGAACATATTTGCAAGCGTTAATTATGGACACAAACACCTCACAAAAGTTAATCTGATGATATCTAATATGTATATGTTATGCATATATAATGAGATATAGCTTATATATAAATAGGAATATATCTTATATCTCATATATATGATATATAAGATCATTAGATTAAGTTCTGTGAGGTGTTTATGACCATGATAGGGTTATATTACATATATGATATGTATAATCTATTTATATATGATATATATGATCTATTACATATACGATATGTAATGTTTATATTTTATATATAGAACTTTTTTTAAATAATTATTTTTTATTTCAGTAGGGTTTTGGGGAACAGGTGGTGTTTGGTTACATGAGTAAGTTCTTTAGGGGTGAGTTCTGAGATTTTGGTGCACCCATCACCTGAGCAGTGTACACTATACCCATTGTGTGGTCTTTTATCCCTCTCCACCTCCCACCCTTTCTCCTGAGGACCCAAAGTCTAATGTATTATTCTTATGCCTTTGCATCCTCATAGCTTAGCTCCCACATATAAGCAAGAATATTCGATGTTTGGTTTTCCATTCCTGAGTTACTTCACTTAGGAATAGTAGTCTACAATTCCATCCAGGTTGCTGTGAATGCCAATATTTTATTCCTTTTATGGCTGAGTAGTATTCCATGGGATGGATACATATATATATATACACACACACACACACACACACACACACATATACACACATATATACACACACGTATATATACACACATACACACACACATATATATATGCACACACACATATATATAGAGCTCACTTTTTTTTTTTTTTTGAGGTGGAGTTTTGCTCTTGTTGCCCAGGGCTGGAGTGCAATGGCAACATCTCGGCTCACTGCAACCTCCACCTCCTGGGTTCAAGCGATTCTCCTGCCTCAGCCTCTTAAGTAGCTGGAATTACAGGTGTGTGCCACCACGCCCAGCGAATTTTGTGTTTTTAGTAGAGATGAGGTTTCACCACGTTGGCTAGGCTGGTTTCAAACCCCTGACCTCAGGTGATCTGCCTGCCTCAGCCTCCCAAAGTGCTGGGATTATAGGCATGAGCCAGCATGTCCGGCCCATGTCTTTTTTTTTTTTTGAGATGGAGTTTTGCTCTGTCACCCAGGCTGGAGTACAGCAGCCCAATCTCGTCTCACTGCAACCTCCGCCTCCCGGATTCAAGCGATTCTCCTGCCTCTATACACCATATTTTCTTTATCTACTCATTGACTGATGGACATTTGGGCTGGTTCTATATTTTTGCCATTGCAAATTGTGCTGCTACAAACATACAAACATACACGTGCAGCTATCTTCTTCGTATAATGACGTTTTTTCCTTTGGGTAGATACGTAGTATTAGGATTGCTGGAGCAAATGGTAGATCTACTTGAGGTTCTTTAAGAATCTCCACACTCTTTTCCATACTGGTTGTACTAGTTTACATTTCCATCGACAGTGTAAAAATGTTCCCTGTCGTCGCATCCACACCCACTATTATGTTTTTTATTTTTTGATTATGGCCATTCTTGCAGGATTGAGGTGGTATCGCATTGTAGTTTTGATTTGCATGTCCCTGATAAATTAGCGATGTTAAGATTTTTTTTCCATATACTGTTGGCCATTTGTATATCTTATTTTGAGTATTGTCTATACATGTCTTTAGACCATTTTTTGATAGGATTTTGTGGGGGTTTTTGGCTGATTTCTTTGTTGATTCTGGTTATTAGTCCTTTGTCAGATGTACAGATTGTGAAGATTTTCTCCCATTCTGTGGGTTGTTTGTTAACTCTGCTGATTATTTCTTTTGCTGTCCAGAAACTCTTTAGTTTAAGTCTCATCTTTTGTGTTTGTTTTTGTTGTATTTGTTTTTGAGTTCTTGGTCATGAAATCTTTGCCTAAGCCAATGTCCAGAAGGTTGTTTGCAATGTTATCTTCTAGAATCTTTATGGTTTCAGGTTTTAGGTTTAAGTCTTTGACCCATCTTGAGTCAATGTTTTTATATAAGTTGGGAAATGAGGAACCAGTTTTTTTCTTCTACATGTGGCTTGCCAATTATCATAGCACCGTTAGTGTAATAGAGTGTCCTGTACCCACTTTTGTTTGCTTTGTTGAAGATTAGCTGGCTGTAAGTATTTTGCTCTATTTCTGGGTTCTCTATTCTGTTCCATTGGTCTATGAGCTGATTTTATACCAGTACAATGTTGTTTTGCTGATTATGGCCTTATAGTATAGTTTGAAGTCTGATAATGTTTTGCCTCCAAATTTGTTCTTTTTGCCTAGTCTTGCTTTGGCTATGTGGGCTCTTTTTTGGTTCCATATGAATTTTAGGATTGTTTTTCTAATTCTGTGAAGAATGATGGTGGTATTTTGATGGGAATTGCATTGAATTTGTAGATTGTTTTTGGCAGTATGGTCACTGATATGGTTTGGCTGTGTCCCTACCCAAATCTCAACTTAAATTGTATCTCCCAGAATTCCCATGTGTTGTGGGAGGGACCCTCAGGGAGGTAATTGAATCATGGTGGTTGGTCTTTCCTGTGCTATTCGTATGATAGTGAATAGCTCTCACAAGATCTGATGGGTTTGTCAGAGGTTTCCACTTTTGCTTCTTCCTCATTTTCTCTTGCTGCTGCCACATATGAAGTGCCTTTTGCCTCCCACCATGATTCTGAGGCCTTCTCAGCCATGTGGAACTGTAAGTCCACTTAAACCTCTTTTTCTTCCCAGTCTCTGATATGTCTTTATCAGCAGTGTGAAAACAGACTAAGACAGTCATCTTCATGATATTGATTCTACCCATCCATAAGCATTGGATGTGTTTCCATTTGTGTCATCCATGATTTCTTTCAGCAGTGTTTTGTAGTTTTCCTTGTAGAGGTCTTTCATGTTCTTAGTAAGTATTTTATTTTTTTGCCACTATTGTGAAAGGGGTTGAGTTCTTGATTTTATTCTCAGCTTGGGTGCTGTTGGTGTATAGCAGAGCTACTGATTTGTGTATATTAATTTTGTCTCCTGAAACTTTGCTGAATTTTTAAAATCAGTTCTAGGAGTTTTCTGGAGGAGTCTTTAGGGTTTTCTAGGTAAACAATCATATCATCAGCAAACAGTGACAGCCTGACTTCCTCTTTACCGATTTGGATGCCCTTTATTTTTTTCTCTTGTCTGATTGCTCTGGCTAATACTTCCAGTACCCTGTTGAATAGAAGTGGTGAAATAGCGGTTGAATAGTTGAAGAAGTGGTTGAATAGAAGTGGGCATCCTTGTCTTGTTCCATTTCTCAAGGGAAATGCTTTCAACTTTTCCCTGTTCAATATAATGTTGACTGTAGGTATAGAACTTTTTTAGTGCTGTTTTAAGTACAAAGAACAATTGAGAGAAAGGTACAGAGATACTCATATGCACCCTGCCCCCACATATACATAGCCTACTGCTTCAACAGCATTCCCCATCAGAGTGATAGATTTGTTAAAACTAAGGAACCTACATTAACACATCATTGTTATCTAAAGGCTAGGTCTCTTTAGGGTTCACTCTTGATGTTATACATTCTACAAGTTGGACAAATATAGGAGGACATGTACCCACCATTATGGTATCATACAGAATAGTTTCACTGCCTTAATTCTCTGTGTGCTGCCTATTTAATCCCTCCCTCTCTCTAACTCATGACAACCACTAATCTTTTACTGTCTCCAGTGTTTTTCCCTTTCCAGAATGTCATATATTTGGAATCATGTAGTATATAGGCCTTTGAGATTGAGTTCCTTCACTTAGTAATATGCATTAAAGTTTTCTCCACATCTTTTCATGGTTTGGTAGCTATTTATTTTCAGTGATGAATAATATTCCATATGATCCTGGATGTACCACAGTTTATTTATCCATTGATTTATTAAAGAATATCCTGGTTGATTACATGTTGTTATAATTATGAATAAATTATGAATATAGCTGCTATAAACATCCATGTGTAAGGTGTTGTGTGGAAATAAGTTTTCAATTCATTTGGGTATATAACCAGGAGTGAGACTGCTGTATCATAGAGCGTATGTTTTGTTTTGTAGGAAACCACCAAACTGTCTTCCAAAGTGGTTGTGTCATTTTGCAATTTCATCAGCAATGAATGAGAGTATCTGTTGCTCCACTTCCTCACCAGCATTTGGTGATGTCAGTGTTCTAAATTTTTGCCATTCTACTAGACGTGTAGTGGTATCGCATTGTTTTAGTTTGCATTTCCTTGATTAAATATGATATGGAGCATTATTTTATGTGCTTATTTGTCATTGCTTTGTATTTTTTGGTGTCTATTAAAGTTTTAGGTCCATTTTTTTTTTAAATTCAGTTAGTCGGTTTTCTTATTGTGGAGTTCTAAGTGTTCTTCATACATTTTGGATAACAGTCTGCTATGGTTTGAATGTGGTGTCACCTCTGAAATTTATGTTGAATCTTCGTCCTCATTTTTGTTATATTAAGAATTGGGGACTTTTGGAAATGGATTAATACTCTTATAATAAAAGCTTCAGAGAGCATTCATCCTCTCTTGCCCTTCCATATCTTCCACCATGTGAAGACACAGCATTCCTCCCTTCTGAAGGATGCAGCAGAGGCTGAACTGTGAGAAATAAATTTCTGTTGTTTATAAATTACTAAGACTGTGGTATTTTGTTATAGTAGTACAAATTGACTAAGACACAGTCCTTTATCAGATATGTCTTTTGAAAATATATCCCCTAGTCTGTCTCATTTTTTCCTTTTCTTGACAGAGTTTTACACAGAGTAGATTTTCTAAAAATTTTAATAATGTCCAGTTGAACAATTCTTTCTTTCCTGGGTCAAGTTTTGGTGACATATCTGAAAAGCTATCACCAAACCATGTCATCTAGATTTTCTCCTATGTTATCTTATAGAAATTTTATAGTTTTGTGTTTTACATTTAGGCCCGTGGGATATTTTGAGCCAATTTGTATGAAGGATGTTAGGTCTGTGTAGAGATATTATTATTATTATTTTTATATGTGGATATTTGATTGTTCCAGTACGATTTGTTGAAATGACTGTCTTTCCTCCATTGTACTGCCTTTGCTCCTTTGTCAAAGATTAGTTGATTACATTTATATGGGCATATTTCTAGGCCCTTTATTCTGCTCTATTGATCCATTTTTAATATCATTTTGCTAAAAGCACACTGTTTTGATTACTGTAGCATTATAGTAAGTCTTGAATTTGGGTAGTATTAATCCTCCAACTTGGTTCTTCTCCATTATTGTGTTGGCTAATCTGGGTCTTTTGTCCTTCTATATAAACTTTAGAATAAAGTTTATCTGTAAAGTAACTTGCTAGGATTTTGATTGGTATGGCAATGAATCTACAGAACAAGTTGGGATGAACCAACATCTTGACAATATTGAGTCTTCCTATAAATGAAAGTGAAATATGTCCTTATTTGTGTAATTCTCCTTTGATTCTTTTCATTAGAGTTTCTTCATTTTTCTCGTACAGATGTTGTACATATTTTGTTTGACATATATAAATATTTCATTTTTTAGGGTACTAATGTGAGTTGTGTTGCATTGTTAATCTCAAATGCCACCTGCTGATGGATTTTTGTATATTATTCCTTGCATGCATCACTCAACTTTGATATAATAGCTTACCAGTTCCAGGAGGTTTTTTGTTGTTGTTGTTTGTTTGTTTGTTTTTGGAGACAGACCCTGTCTCACTCTGTTGCCCAGGCTGGAATGCAGTTGGTGGATTCACTGATTTTTCTCTATTGACTTTCTATTTTAATTTCATTTATTTCTGCTCTAATTTATATTACTTATGTTCTTCTGCTTAATTTGTATTTAATTTGTTCTTCCTTTTCTAGTTTCCCAAAGCGGAAGCTTAGATAAATTGATTTTAGATTTTTTTCTTTATGATATGTGCAGTAAATGCTGTAACTTCCCACTAAATACAGTTTTTACTGTATCCCAAAAATTTTGATAAGTTGTATTTTCATTTTTATTTAGCTTAAGATATATTAAATTTTCGATTGAGATTTTTCTTTAACCCATGTTATTTAGAGTTGTGTTGTATAAGCTCCATGTATGTTGGGATTTTCTGCCTTTCTGCTATTAATTTCTAGTTTAATTCCACTCTGGTTTAAGAGCAGACATTGTGTGATTTCTATTATTTTAAATTTGTTGGGTTTATTTTATGGCCCCAAATGTGGTCTGTATTATTGAATGTTCCCTGTAAGCTTGAGAAAAGTGTATATTCTGCTTTTGTTGGATGAAATAGTCTATATATTGTAGTCAAATATATCCTATTGATTGACGGTGTTGCTGGGCTCATGTCTCAGTCTTTTCAGACTGCTATAACAAAATGTCATGGACTGGGTGGCTTATAAGCAACAGAAATTTATTTCCCACAAATATGGAGGCTGCAAATTCCAAGTAACCGTCTCTGGCAAATTCAGTGAGTGCATAATCTCTAGCTTACAGATCACATTTTCTTACAATGACCTCACATGGTGGAAGGAGCAAAGTTTCTATTTATAAAGCCCTTTTAATAAGGCCACTAATCCCATTAGGTTAATAGACTGTGCCTTCTCTCAATATCTTTACATGACTTAAACACCTCCCAAAGGCCCACCTCCAAATACCATCACCTTGGGTGTTAAGATTTCAACATTTGAATTTGGGGGGGTAAGGGAAGAACAAGCATTCGAACCATAGCAGTTTAACTATATCTTTACTGATTTTCTCCTTGCTGGATCTGTTCATTTCTAATAGAGAGGTGTTGAAACCTTCAACTAAAATAGTGAATTCATCTATTTCTTTGTGCATTTCCATCAGTTTTTGCCTCATGAATATTGATGCTGCATTGGTAGAATGATGTGTTGTTACAAGAATTGCTATTCCTTGTTGGAGAATTGACCCCTCTATCATTATGTAATGCCCCTCTTTATTTGTGGTAACTGTTTTTTTGGCCTGCTCTGTCTGAAATTAATACAGCTAGCTACTCTTGATTTGATTAGTACTAGCATTGTATATCTTTCTACATTCATTTACTTTTAATCTTATGTGTCTTTATATTTAAAATGGGTTTATTGTAGACAACCTAGAGTTGCATATTATTTTTTGATCCATTCTGGCATTCCCTATCTATTAATTGGTACATTTAGAATGTTGTTGTTTAAAGTGATTGCTGATACAGTTGAATTAATATCGACCGTACTTATTACTGTTTTCTTTTTTTAAGTAAAATATCAGAGACTTTATTTAACTCTTCAGGAATTACTAAGATATTATAAAGGGGAATTTGAGAAAACGGTCTTTTGTTATTTTTACTATATCTGGCATTCTCATTATGTGTAGGTTACACCTTTTGTAGTCGTGCCACAGTTCTTTGATGTTCTATTCTATTTTAGCCTTTTTTTTTCCCTTTGGTTTTCAGTTTTGGTAGTTTATCCTCAAGCTCAGTGTTTCTTTCTTCACCCATGTTGATTCTGCTAATAAGTTCACCAAAGACATTCTTCATTTCTGTTCACATTATTTTTTATCTCTAGCATCTCTTTTTGATACTTTCTTAGGCTTTTCACCTCTCTGCTTACATTTCCTATCTGTTTTTGCATGCTGCCTACATTTTCTGTTAGAACCTTTAGCGTGTTAATCATAGTTGTTTTAAATTCCTGTTCTGTTAATTTCAAGATCCCTGCCCTGTGTCTGTCTCTTCAAACTGTGTGTTTTTTGTTTGTTTGTTTGTTTCTTTTCTGCCATTTAGAGTATGTGTGTGTGTGTATCTTTCAGATAGATGATAGATAGATAGATACATAATAGATACCTAGACAGATAAGATAGATAGCGGAACAGGATGTACTGTGTAAAATGAATTACTCTAAATATGTCGTTAGTAATGCGGTTTTAAGGTGTGGGAGGAGAGAAATTAGTTTATAGTCCTGTGATAAGGCCTCTGTCTTTTAGTGAGCCTATTCCTCGTTACTGTGAATGTTTACAAGTGTTCTGCAGTTTTTCTCTCCTTCTATAGGTGGAATAGGATAGCTAGAGTGAGCTAGAGTTTGATATTTTCCTTTACTCACATGGAAAGCTAGAGGCTAGAGTTAGATATTTCCTTCCTCCCAGAGGAAGTTTGAGTCTGATAAGATTCAGCAGGTTAGACTCAGGTTAACTAGTTCCTCCTGAGGGCACACCTGTTTAAGAAGAACAGCGTGCTCTCCCGTAATTCAAAATGGTTCCTTTCCCCACTCCCTGCTGGGAGCACAAGGGAATTTTCCCCTCATGTCTAATGTGAGGACTCAGTCAAGTTTCTCGAGGTAAAACTGACAGAAGCACCTCACCCCCTGCCCCGCCGTGAATGAGTCCTTCTGCAGTTTTTAACTCTCAGTATTGCTCACACTGAGCCTAGAGCTATTCGTCAACTACTGTTCCAGGTTTCTTACCCTGCCACTGGTTCCACGGAGCTTTCTGTACAGGTAGGTTGTGATTCTTATGCATCTGCCTGTCTGTCACTTCAATTCTGGGAACAGTATTTTGCCCTGTGATGTCACTTCTTTTCAAATCTAAAAAGAGTTGTTGATTTTTCAGTTTGTTTAGCTCCTTACTTGTTACAACAGAGTGGAGATTTCCAAGTTCCTTACCTGCAGAACTGGAAAAATGCTCTATCATGTATATTTTATATTTCTATCTCCAAAGATGAAATATTTCATTGTGAGGTTTGTGTGTGTGTGTGTGTGTGTGTGTGTGTGTGTGTGTGTGTTTAAAGAAATCAATCTAAATATTCAGGAGCATCCCTAAGGCATATCATTGTTTCTTCCAATGATAGATTAATGAGATATTTGAGGAACTTAGGTGAATGTTACTCACCTGATGATGTTTGCTGCATTTTATGTTTGAGAATGTGCTTTAGGCTATTATGAATTTAAATACTACTTCCCATGTTACTGAGATTAATAGTTATCTTTTCCCATGTTGGCCTTAAATTGATTCCTCAGGCTTTACTTTTCCCCACTCTTAATGTTAAGGACTCAGACACTCAACTTTTAGTTTTCGTGATGGCCTTGCCACAGACTTCAGAACCTCCAGGGAATGGCGATTGAAATAGACATAATAGACACAATACTTTAGGATCTACCAAGAGTGCATTATAATTCAGAGCAAAAAAGAAATGCAGAAAAGTTTCATTCATAGAATTGTTCATTATCACTCTCATTGATTCTTCTTAAATTCAGCTCCTCATGGCCACAATGATTCAGTGGAAAAGCCTCAGGAAATTTGAAAGTGTGGTTTAAAATATTGTGATTGCCTTGTCTGTGTGGACAGCAATTTGATTACCTAAACATGAAATAAATGAGGGGGTGGCATTTCCATTGTTACTCCCTCGCTCCTTAATCTGTATCAAAGCAGTATACACATATCAACCCATTTCAGACTTAATATGAGGCTTTCAAAATTGAGCAATAAATCATTTTGATAAAGAAATCTATAAAGGAAACAAATATTTTTATATAGGAAGCAGCTTTCCAAAATTTAATTTTGCAAGAATCTTATTTAGAAATATGAGATACAGGCTGGGCGTTGTGGCTCATACCTGTAATCCCAGCACTTTGGGAGGCTGAGGCGGGTGGATCACCTGTGGTGAGGAGTTGGAAAGCAGCCTGGCCAACATGGTGAAACCCTGTCTCTACTAAAAATAAAAGAATTGGCAGGGTGTGATGGCGGGCACCTGTAATCCCTGCTACTCAGGAGGCTGAGGCAAGAGAATTGCTTGAACCTGGGAGGCAGAGGTCGCAGTGAGCTGAGATTGCATCACTGCACTCCAGCCTGGGCAACAGAGCAAAAGTCCATCTCAAAAAAAAAAAAAAAAAAGAGATATAAAATATATGCCATGAAACAGCTGGTAGAAAACACAAGGTTATGTACAGGCAAGTATGAGAAAAATGGATCAAAGAAGTATATTTTGATGTCCATAATGTGAAAGAGAACACTTAAATAATATAATTTGAAAGATGCTAGAGAAACTCCCTGTATCCCAATGTATGTTACCATGCCAGTATGTTAGTGAGCAAAAATACTTTGCATGCAAGGGTTAATGGTTCACAGATGCTTACACTGTTATTTCTCCACTATATATTTCTCTTCAGTATATACTGTTGAAGTATAGCATGTATATATATAGAAAAAAAGCCCCCATAACTGAGTTCTCCTGCAGTTTTTAACTCTCATCATTGTTCTCGTTCATGTGTATATATACATGGTATATGTCAACAGTTAAACTATTTATATATAATAGACATATATAGCATATATTTATATGGCATACTTCAACAGTGTGCGTGTGTATATATATAATATATATAAAACATATATATTATTTACATATGAATCCTCAAATATATATGGGAGAAATAACTGTAAGAGTCTGTGAACCATTAACCCTTGCATGCAAAGTATTTTTAGATCAGCGAAACTCCATAAAATGGGAAATTATATGAGGAAGAAATTTTATGGAAGTATTATAGCCAATAGCTACAGCCAAAATATAGACATCTTTGGAATGAGATCAAGGAGGGGTGAAAGCAGAATGGGTAAATGAGAGATACCAGACAAATTTTACAAAATATTGCTCTGGCTATAAGTATTTAGACAATTTTGCCCTTGTTTGAAACCAAGGGCTAATTAATTATATCAGGGAAATCTGGAGAGCTTTAGCAGCAAAGTCTTATTGTAAAAAGTAAAGAAATTAACCTCTGAGCCATTTGTTTCCTCTGTAGACAAGCAAAGAGAAGCAGAGATGAAAGTAGGAGTGTGGGTAAATCTGTTCAAAATTCCTCATCTAGTCAATTTGGCTTTAAAAAATGCAGAGCGACTTGACTGGCCTAGTGTATTCTTTAATGTGTAGAGAGTTTCTTACTTGAAAGGTTCAGTTTTTCAACTGAATAACTGTCAGAAAAATTGTAGGTGTCTTATATATTTTTGTCTTTACCACTTTAGTGCAGGCTCATTTGACTTCCAGCTGCCAGAAACAGGGTTTTTTTTTTTTTCCCTTTGCCTGTGGTTTATCTCTGGCTAGTCACCAAGCTTCAGCAACTTAAGCGTGGGGTCAGTTATGCTGGAGATTAGGACCACTTGGGAGCAGTGCTTAACCAATGACTACAGGGAGTTGATGAGAAATATACACCAATCTCCATGTCCCTTGTGTGGCATTAGAGGCATGATCTTCACATTGGCTCTTAGTGTGTCCCTAGCAGAATTAAGGTTCACTGACACACAGCGAGTAGCTGGCTTAATAATGTGCCTTGTCTAATTTCCCAAACCCTACTAAGTGATTTCTTCACCTTTCAAATAAACGACTTGTGAGAGATCTTTGTCTCAGGGTCTACCACTGAGACAATTTCACCTGACTTAAGATGAAAATTTCACCTGAATTAAGATGAAAATCAACTAAGCAAGTTATTTGATATAATGTAAATCTATGTGGATCACTTCTTTTATTCCATAAATGCTATCACAAAATAAACAGTTTATTTGGTGACTAGACCTCCGAAAGCTCTGCCTGTAGAAAGGGAGACATCGGGAGCTTGAGTGTTTTGGTGGATATGAGGCAATAAAACTCATTCCAGTGTAGCCATTTTCAAGAAGAGTGGATGCTGAGAGTGGCAGTTTGTAGTTGTGGTTACTAATATAGGCACATGTACTGAGCCATACTTCTGGCCTCTACTCCATATGTGCTGCACAGCTGGCTAAGCTGCTGGAGGAGCCTACTGCATAAGACAGCCTGCAGGTCTTGAGATAAAACACACCTGCTCCTGCTTGCTTTCTTCTGGGACCTTCCACGTTAAACTGAATCATCTCTTTTTCAATAAAGACAGGGCTCAGTTATGGGAATACAACAAGCACTGGGTGCCAGGAATAGAAAAAAAGCTGGAATCTACAGAAGCAAGTTGACAGGACATTATTCTAGACAAAAAGAGAGATGTGTCTGCCAAGTTATACTGGTCACATAGCACTAGCATTACCGAGACATCCATAATCCTGCAAAAGAATTTTTAGAGAAAAATAAGCTCAATTCTCAGAGGACTACAGATTTACATTTGTTTCCAGTGACCCACTGTTACTTACATGGCTTGCTACTGAGATCCTTCAAGCAAAATATTAGAAAGACCCTACCGGAAACTTCAATTCTTACATACGTTTATCACTTTTGTCCTTAAAATTTAGTGTCCTTAAGCAGTATTTCCACACATATAGAATTAAAATAGCCGGTCAACATACATTCTTTCTGGTTCACATTCTTCTTTTTTCTTATGAACTTTGTTGACTCAAGCAGCCTGAGCTATTGAGAACTCCTGACTTCTCAAGAATCAGAACTCACACTCAAGAAAGCTAAATGGTTCATGGTTCTTGAATAAATATGTGAGTTTTTCCTGAAGCGAGCGAAGCTACTTTTGTGAGTCACTGCATCTTTTTATTATTATTATTATTATTATATTTTAAGTTTTAGGGTACATGCGCACAACATGCAGGTTAGTTACATATGTATACATGTGCCATGTTGGTGTGCTGCACCCATTAACCCGTCATTTAACATTAGGTATATCTCCTAATGCTATCCCTCCCCCCTCCCCCTCCCCCCACCCCACAACAGGCCCCGGTGTGTGATGTTCCCCTTCCTGTGTCCATGTGTTCTTATTGTTCAATTCCCACCTATGAGTGAGAACATGCAGTGTTTGGTTTTTTGTCCTTGCGATAGTTTGCTGAGAATGATGGTTTCCAGCTTCATCCATGTCCCTACAAAGGACATGAACTCATCATTTTTTATGGCTGCATAGTATTCCATGGTGTATATGTGCCACATTTTCTTAATCCAGTCTGTGATTGTTGGACATTTGGGTTGGTTCCAAGTCTTTGCTATTGTGAATAATGCCGCAATAAACATACATGTGCATGTGTCTTTATAGCAGCATGATTTATAATCCTTTGGGTATATACCCAGTAATGGGATGGCTGGGTCAAATGATATTTCTAGTTGTAGATCCCTGAGGAATCGCCACACTGACTTCCACAATGGTCGAACTAGTTTACAGTCCCACCAACAGTGTAAAAGTGTTCCTATTTCTCCACATCCTCTCCAGCACCTGTTGTTTCCTGACTTTTTAATGATCGCCATTCTAACTGGTGTGAGATGGTATCTCATTGTGGTTTTGATTTGCATTTCTCTGATGGCCAGTGATGATGAGCATTTTTTCATGTGTTTTTTGGCTGCATAAATGTCTTCTTTTGAGAAGTGTCTGTTCATATCCTTTGCCCACTTTTTGATGGGGTTGTTTTTTTCTTGTAAATTTGTTTGAGTTCATTGTAGATTCTCGATATTAGCCCTTTGTCAGATGAGTAGATTGCAAAAATTTTCTCCCATTCTGTAGGTTGCCTGTTCACTCTGATGGTAGTTTCTTTTGCTGTGCAGAAGCTCTTTAGCTTAATTAGATCCCATTTGTCAAGTTTGGCTTTTGTTTGCTCTTATGAGTCAATATGAGAGTTAGGAGAGAGGATGGAGGCAACATCCCTAACATATCTCTGAACTAGTGGGTCTGGTGTACTAGGCGTTCCTCTCATCAATATCTCCTCTCTTTCTCTCTCTTCCCCCACCTGATTCCCTCCTGAGCATCTTTCCAAAGGCTATTGACTCTCCCTTCTTCAGTAGAGGCAGTTACCTTTTAATCTTGTATGTTCAGTCTGATGTGTACATTGCAGGATTTAGAATTTACAGGAAGATTAAACTTGGTCCTTTCTATCTTCTGTAGCTATTTCTTCTTGACTCCTTGGTCTTCTGATAATCATTTGATCCACAAGCCTGGTTTACAATGAGGAAAACATGGGCCATATTTAGATAGAACATGGTTGTGGTTTACACAAGTTGGATAAGAAACTGGTGAATAAAGAGGCCTTCACAGTTTTCTCTAGGGATTTTATGTCAGTTTCCAAGAAATCACTACATAGTTTGCTCTCTCCATTGCCTTTCTATTAACTATGCATCATATTAAAGAAGCTAAGAGCAATTTGTTGAATTCAGGCCAAGAGAAAGGTGAGAAATTGTGTGACAATTAATAATGATGAATTCAAAACATTAGGTTATTATGGAGATTCTTGTTAAAACCTTTAGAGGCAAACAATAAATTATGCCAACTTTGATTTTGCCAATACCTCACTAACTCTTTTGGTGATGATCAGGAATTGTTTATAAATGTCTGTATACATCAATTTCAGAAAGAGAATCTTACAGAAGGATAGCTCAATTTCTCTCAGCAATATTCAATAGAAATATTCAAAACACTGTTAAAGTAAAAAATATTCATGACACATTTGTTGAAGATGGTAAGGTAGATTTTATTCAAGAGGAGCCATGATGATAAATGTAGGCACCACTGCAGTGGGATCCTGCAATAGGGAAAATAGATTGGACTTAACTTCAACTTCAATAAGAACAAGTGAGAATTTATAACCAAGAAACTGGGTAAATGTCAGTGGATGCAAAATTACTAAGAGGAAACTTCTGGGCAAGGTGTCAGGGTCCCGGGGGCAGAGAGTGGTTGGCTCATGGATGGTAAAATAATTTACCAACAGTGGTTTAGGTTTGAAAAGAAAAGTTTTATTAGAAGGAATGCTGCAGCAGAGTACAGTGGGGCGCTTATGCAAGAGAAGACTGAGCACGCCTCGGTGCATTTTCTTTAGGCATGTTTGTGGACCTTAATGCAGGAACTTCAGGGTAATTTGTACCATATTAGTCACCTAAGTGATGGTCAATTATTACATTTGTAGACATTTTGGTACCTTGATATCAGCAAGGGTTGCACAATGAGTTTTGACATGCCTGCATTCCAGAGATGTATAGAAATTCTAGTTACTTAGAAATTCTTGGGAAAGAAGCCTGTACTAGATATGGCTTTAAATAATAGGGAAGTTTAATTACCTCTGAATTCTTCAGATAAGGGGTCTTGCCTCAGAGGGTCTGCTTGATGGCCACCAGGTGATATTTTCTCTTCTCAGAAACATCAAGGATAAGGGGTTTCTAGCTAAATTGACTTGACAGAACCATGCTGAAGGCAAAGCAGAGTGATAAGGTATCTAGAGTAATTACATACCAAGCATGGGAGATTCTCCCTAAATTGCCTTACCAAGATTTTTGCTTGAACTGTATTCTATAAGGACAGAAAAGGAAGCCTGAGGTCAGACCTAGTCAAGTAGAGGACTCAGAGGAGCTCAATTAAAGGTTCTATCCAAAGAAGAGAGTCTTTGTAAGCACATATGTAAACTTCCAGTTTCTAGTTGTCATATTAAAAAGAAACAGGTAAATTAATTTTAATAGTATATATACTTAACATATCCAAGCTTTTTTAATTTCAAGATTCAATTAATATAAAAATTATGAGATATTTTACAAATTTTTTGTACAAAGTCTTTGAAAGCTTGTGTGTGAATTATAATTATGTCATGTCTCAATTTGGACTAGCCACATTTCAAGGACTCAAGAGCCAACATGACCAGTGGCTACCATGTTGGACAGCAGGTCTGTGCGACATCTGGACACAAAATTCAAGGATAAAAGTGCTGCTTTTCTCAGACCCAATAAAACACTTATTGCTCAGGTGGCATTTCTATAATACAGTGATGAATATTCTATAATTCTATGATTATAACTCACAGTGGATAATGCCTTTTTCTAAAATGAATTGCTTACGTTTAGGCACTACGTCCACCGCTCGGCACTGCATATCTTGGAATTGTCTCAACTTACTCCTTGGCATCTGTAGAAGGATACAGTGACGTTTATTGCTTGTAGGACATGATTTGTTTGGCACTGAATAGGTAAACAATAACAGAAAGTATGGATGGTATAAATTTTAAGTGATGTTTGCAATATGCATTTGGGAGTTTTTAGAATGGGAGCAAAATTTGCTCTTTTTTTTTTTTCCACATGCTTTAATCTATTTGTTGAGATAGCTTCATGGCTACAAAGAATACTGCAAAAATATTTGGTAGAGCATCCTCTTCTCTTCTACAAATGTTTCTTGATAATCAGTAGCAAAAAAGCAGAGGTGGGGGAACCATGTTTTAATGGTGCCAATTTCTTTGTTGTTTTTCTGGTCAGTGCCTGCTGCAAAGAATATAGAAGTGCATGGGTTCCAGATAGCTGTTCTGGGCATAAAACTATTCTACTCTACATCCTGGGAAGAGACCAGTCTCAATTAATCCTATATAGCCATAAAGCATTAATAAAACATTTGAAACTGGAATGCCAGTTCCTGTAATGCTTACAGAGACCAAAGTTAATCACTAGAAACAACTCTAGATCCTTATCAGCCCAGAGATGGCACCAGAGGAATCTACATAATAAACTTGACTGATTCTTACCATTACTAGTCTCCCCGTGTAGTTGCTTTCCACACTTTGCTGCCCTTAGAAGTGCAAAGTTCTTTCCTTTGTTTTGTCACTTCTCTAAACTTTTATTTTTCTTTTGTTAAGATGCTCTATCAGCCCAAGTTCTACTCCTTTTAGTTGCTCATGCAGAATGCTCCCATGTGTAAGCAGGATGCACAGGTTAATACATTGGTGTTTGGTTGTCTCTTGTTAATCTGTTTTTGTTTTTGTCAGTCTAATTTACAGGGCCTAAGAGAGGGGTACTAGGAGGGAACAGTATTTTTTTCTCTCCTACAGCGCAAAAACGTGGACCTATTTTTACTTATGAAGATTTCTTTGCTCTTTCTTACTGGAGTAATCTAGTACATCTGTTTTACCGTTTGCATTCCTTCTTCATATTTCAAAGGGTTTTGTGCAACAGAACATACTGCAGTATCCTATGTAAGAATGTTCTCACTACTTTAGTTTTAGCAGAGAATATAATTGGGATGTTCTATTTGTCAATATTTACTTTTTAGCTCAGCAAGACCTGCAAGAATCAATCAATGAAACCTCAAATACAGAAAACCATTTTATGGTGACAAATACTCTATATTAAAGTATCTCAGTTTTCCGCAAATTGTATACAAAATTCCTTGCTAAGCCCTAAGTCAAATGCCAAGATAACTTTTAATAACTCAAGAAAAAGAAAAATTAAGAAAAAAAAGCTTTTCTCTCTATAAGAACTCTAGGAAAACAGTCAGTTCTATTTATAGCTAAGTTGTGTTACATTTAAAATATTTTCAACTTCAGAACTTTGCTTATTTTACCAATAGACATGGGGCTTTAAGTTAGGTATAAAGCAAATTCAAAAATCTTTCCCAAAACAGTAGATCTCCTTGTCACAAAGTTCTGTAGTATGTGACTCTATTGGAATAATTTCAAATTCAGAATCAACAGAGTCACATCTCCTAGGGATTGTTAGAAACCTAGAAATGTGATACAGGAAAAAGAAATAGTAAGGAATGGTAAAAGCTGATGAGAAGATATTATTGAAAAAATGTGTTAAAATCATTTTTAAAAGCTGGGGAATTGTATAACCAGATCTAGTATTGAACTATTGTTAGTAGGAAGAGAAAAGAGATAACCTGGGCATGGAAATTGTGCTTTTGAGAGTGTCTTAAAACCCAAAAGGCATTAGAAAAAAAATAGCTTTTTAAAATAAAAAAGGAAACTTTACATTTGGATGAAGACTCACTTCCAGAAATATAGCCACTAAATGTCTACATTATATAAAGAAAAAAAGTCTATTTGAAACTGGCAGTGATGAGAAGAATGTATGAATGAAAAACGTAAACTGACCAAAGAATACTGGATCACAAATTGTAAAGTAATTGAAAGTGTACTATATTTATATTTATTGATTTTATTGGTAGGAGAGAGAGAGAGTGTGTGTGTGTGTGTGCGTGTGTGAGTGGGGGGTGGGGTGGGGAGTGGGTTTCAGTAAGTTCATGTGAAATCAGTTTCCCAAACAGCATTTCCTAAAAGATCTTAAACTATTCAGAATAATTTATTTCTACTCTATGGTGTATCATTTACCTCAACGCCTGAGGGTTTTAGGTAAATAAACCCATTACTTAACACATATTTTGCATCATATTTTCCAGTTTTCATTATGAAATAGTCAATACATTTCATTAGAAAAAATAATCTGGCCCCAAGATTTTAAATTCATACAAGAGTTTCAACGTTCCCGCCAATGTATATCTTAGTTTCCCTAATATGGTACATTTAATACTCCCATCTTAATCCTGCCTAGAAGTCAACATTCAGTCTCCCTGATTTTTGCACAAATATTTCAACTATATTCATATTTAAATGCATCTCACAGCTAATTTCTTTGCTTAGAAGTTCTATTCGGCTGTGTAGGACTTGAATGTCTAAACAGCCTCACTTTACACCATTGCTTTTCAGTGATTTCCTTCCAGGATGCTAGTATTCGATTTGGAATTCAAACAGTTTTATGTTTGAGAAAAGAAAAAGAGAGATGCAAATACCTTATAAAGTAGAGGCACTTTTTTCCTAATACAAACATCAACTCTATTCGGAGGATAAAAGTTTAATAATTAATCTATTCTTGAACATAATTGAATAATTATCCAGAGCCTACTATGGACAAGGCTAGTGCGCTGGTGATTATGGTGTAGGAGTGGAGGAGGACATATAAAAATGAGTAAGCTTCTTGATATCTAAGAAAATTAAGCTATTAATGAAGACGAGCTATACATAAATAATTTACAGTGCAAGGAAATAAATAATACATGCCATGGGAATGGAAATGAGTGTTTTGCATTCAGAGAAGACAGAACACACTCAACTGTGATGATTGGAGGAGATTTCAGTCAGTAAGTGACATATTAGACACAAAAGATGAATAAGATTTACACAGCAGGCACAGCAGTCCATGAGAACAACACAAACAGCAGTTCAGACTTGGAAAGGCCTGTGCTGGATTCAGGAAATGATGCTTACCATGAGGAGAGCAGAGGTTCCCTGCAGTAGGGCAATAAATCATCTCATGAAGGGCCTCAAAGGACCCAGGAGTTAGTCCTTGGTGAAGATGGACTATTCACAGTGATTTGAGCAGTGAAATCACATTGCAAAATGGTGTTCTTGGAAGGAAAAGACACTACTATGTGATTATACGGAGAAGATTAGTGGCAGTGCCTTGTTAGAGGGAAATCCTGTGAAGGATATGAAAAGATATTGTGAAAAACAATCAGCCAAGTGGTTGCCACAGAGGAGAGGAAACATGAAATGCCTGCTCTGAGAGGGGGGTGCAGCATTAAAAACAGAGCATGAGGCTGAGGGAGGAGGGGCTTTGTCAGGGAATAGGCAGTCTAACGACAAGCAGAGACTGAACTGTGCATGTGCAGACATCCAATGGGCCGGGAATTAATGAACATTAGAGGACAGGAATGCCCTGGGGCATTAAGATTTATGTCTTTGTGTAAGCAGTAAACTTTGTCGGTAAATATTCACTGATGTGAAGCATTCCTGAGGATTGAAAGAGCAGGCCACAGGAAATATAACAAATACAAGGACAGGAGACATCCAAAGGCAAGAGCCCCAGCAATGGTCTGGCTGGTTTTGTGCATGAAAGAAAACAAGACAAAGGAATGGAATGTGTAAAAAAAAATCTTTGTTTTGAAAGTCACAACAATTATTTTATTTTGAGACAGAGTCTCGCTGTGTTGCCCAGGCTGGAGTGCAGTGGCTCTATCTCCGCTCACTGCAAGCTCTGCCTCCCGGGTTCACGCCGTTCTCCTGCCTCAGCCTCCCAAGTAGCTGGGACTACAGGCGCCCGCCACCACGCCCGGCTGTTTTTTGTGTGTTTTTTTTTTTAGTAGAGAAAGAGTTTCACCGTGTTAGCCAGGATGGTCTCAATCTCCCGACCTCATGATCCACCCGCCTCGGCCTCCCAAAGTGCTGGGATTACAGGCGTGAGCCACCGGACCTGGCCAAAATTCACAGTAATTTTCATCTACTCGATTTGCACCTAGTTGGGATCCTACAAATGTTTGGTTAATATTGTTCAAAATGTGATGTTATATCACAATAAGAAGCTGTGAATTTAGAGAAAAAGCTGAATATGGTAAGGTGAAATACTCAAGGAGTCAGGTAATTCGAGGTAAAAGGAAGTCATGTGAAGAAGTGAAGGAAGCAGGTCAAAAGAGAAAACGTCAGAATTAATGTGAGACCAATGAAACTCAGAAGTTCACAAAATCTAAAGTGCAGGGTAAGGAGGAGAGAGTCAAAGATGAGGAGAACAGGTATGCACTAAAGAGCGGAGCAAGCCAGCAAGAGGTACCTGGAATGAAGTAGTAGCTTAATGCCTAAGAAGTGTCTAGCTGACATGAATTTAGGCGTGTGTAAACTACTAAAATGTCCCTGTAGAGTTTAATTTATTTGCTTATGTTTTATTCTATTACTGTTGTTTTGTAGCAGTAGGTGAAAGTTCTTACAGAATTTATATATGTCATTGACTCACAACTTTGATTACTCATTTGAATGACCTCAAGAGCTTTACTCATTACTGAGGTCTAGGCTCTTCCCACAAGACTCTGCTTTTATTCTCCTGGGTGCTGTTTGCACATATGGAGTTTGGAAGCTCCCAGGTGATTTTACTAGCCAACACTGAGAAAGCAGACCAAAATGGAGCTGCCCACAGGGGACAGAGTAGAACCTGTTGACCACAGCTCACACTCTGACTCATTCAATCCAGTTTGTGAAGCAAAATCCTAGGAGAGTCCTTGTAAAAATACAAAATCCTCAGTCCTATCTGAAATCCATTAAATATGAATCTAAGTGTTGAATGCGGGACTGAACATAAGTGATTCTGACGCACACCTGTTTAAAATGTACTGTCATGGCTCTCCCTGACCCATACTTTATAAACCACTGCTACAAGTAAAGATTTTGACTTCTGCTGAGTTCATAAGCTTCCTGTGATCTGATTAGGTCATTTGTGATTCAGGATTATTAGTTTCCATTCTTATGTTGAATAACAATTACTCTAATTTCCATTAATTGTCAGCTATGGACCAAGAATTTTGCTGGTCCCTGAAGATTCAGAGTCCCACTATGGTCTTTGTCCTTAAGAAACCATCCATCTAGTGGAAAAATAAGTGAATAATTATAACTTGGTAGACACAGGCAGGAGCTCAAGCACTGAGCCCAGATAGTCTACGTGGACGAGCTTCCTTGACGAGAGAGATCATGAGAAGACTGCTTGCTGGAGGCAGAGCAGGAGTGTAAGAAAAGTAGGAAAGGAACAAGCAAACTGGCAAGTGGCTAATACTCTAAATTATGCAGCTTTTAAGATTTGGCTAAGATAAAAGCTTTCTCTGGGAGGTTCGTGATGCATCTCATCTCTCTTCCTTCCCTTTGGCGTCCTGACTAATGGAAGATACACATATAAAAGTGTATAACCAAGTGAGAACTATTGTTCCACTTGACAAATCTGGACAAGCCACCTATAACCCTCAAAATGTACCTTCTTTTTGTAGGTCTAACACTAAGATTGGGTTTCCTGTCCCATTTCTCTTCCAGTAAAGAAAACTGAGCCTGCACAGTGTTTTACCTACTCAGGAATAGGCAGAGGATCTGGAACAGAATACTTCTGTGAATCTGGTTTAGAAAGTTCTCCTGATCCATTTATCTGTTTGTAACAGGACATGTGAGAGGATTCAAGAAGTGAGTCTGGATCTTTTAAGGCCTGCAATTCTGCCTCCTAGTAAAATGGATTAATTGTAATCTCTGACCAATCACCTTGGCCAGTCCTCCCTCTCTGGAAAAAGGATTGAAAGCGGGTGGAAGTGGGGAAAGCTAGATGAGCAGAAATTTCCCAGTAAACCCATGACAAAGACTACTGGCCGCTTACTAATATTTATTCTCCAAGCTGGGCGTGGTGGCACGTCCCTGTAGTCCAGCTACTTAGTAAGCAAAGGCAGGAGGATCACTTGGGCCCGGGAGTTCAAGGCTGTAGTGGTCTGTGATTCTGCCTATGAATAGCCACTGCACTCTACTCAGGGCAACATAACAAGATCTCATCTCTAAAACTAATAAAATATTCATTCTTCACTCCTTTCTTAATGACATTACCTAGATATTGTTGAGACTGACAATGTGCCCAGTTTAGAAGCAACATTTACCAGTCCCATCTGAGGCATTGATGTCTATGGGACAGGCTTCTGAGCTATGCAGTCTTACAAGAGACTTACAAGCAGGGCTTGCAGGAAGTTTTTCTAAAACAATGTCATGCCTTAAGAACGTACCAGCTTTTATACTTAGCCTTCTTATTTCTACTATCCCAGAACCTAAATGTGTTGGCTGGAGCCACAGCAATCATTTCATGAGAATGAATATGAGAGGAACCTAGGCCATAACAACATGAAACCACGGTATCTGTACTATTTTGTGACTTATCCATTACTAGAGGAAAACATAAATTCCATACTTTTTTAAGCAACATTTGTTTTGTGTGTGGTGGTGATGTCTTTTTTATTCGTAGGGGAATATATTTCCTAACCAATACACTCTTCTACATGGGAGGGAAAAATCCAGTAAGTCTACTTCTCTATAGTGCAAGGCTAAAAATATGGCATGAAGGTAGAAATGCTTTTTTTTAACTTAACAATAGTATAATCTATTGATTTATAAATCAGTATGTTGCACCACATTACAGGCCAAGAAAGTGCTGAATATAAATAGCAAATACTCTTTATAACCTGAAGAAAGAAATGGTATCACAAAATCCTCAAAAATCTGAACTAATTTACTAAATAAGAGAAAATCACATTCTTAAGCAATGCTAAAAGGCAAACTTACCATTTCATGTTGTCAATTTCTAAGATTATTTTGAAGTAAACACCTTCCTCATTTTCTCGATTGTTAGATGAGCAATTTGCAAAAGGCTGCCCCAGGAAGTGTCCATGAGAGAATGCGTTGGTCCCTTAAATGGAAGTGACAGCTGTTGGATAATGCTGGAGTTCTGGCGTATGCCTTCTGACCACTCACTGTGACAAAGTTTTGATGAGTCACCTTATGCTATGAGTATAGAAGCATCCCTTATGAAGAAAAGTGATGAAAATAGCAACAATATTTCTCTTTTAAAATTGACTGAGTAATTTAAAGAAATATGCACCAGTATCCTCACATCTTTTCAAGGAGCTGATCATCACTGTGGACATTTCATGCTTTTTATAGCTTTGGTTTAAAATGAATGATGATCCTTAAGCTCTAATGATCAACTTCACCATAATGTTCTCCAAAAGCATTTAGGGATGCAACATCAGGCACCGATTTGACATAACTCAACAGTAACAATATTTGGCTGTAGAGATTGAATGCTCCATGTAAAAAATATCAACAAAAAACAATTTTTTATTAACAAACGGAATTAACCATAGAAAAGATGTTATTTTTCCTATTGTTTCATTTCATAGGGAATTAAATTTTATAATGTCTTGATGTTCTGGTGTAGTTCTTAGTCCCAGGAATACCTGGAACTTGTGAACATAAGGGTTTAGGGTCCTTAAATGAAGATACCGGGTGCATATCACATATCTATTTTCCAGGTGTTAGTACCCAACATCAGGCTTGATAATTTTCAAAAGTGCTTTCACTAGAAGCAAATGTGTAAACTGGGGATTTCAGCCAACTCAGAATATTTTTTAAAAACTTAGTGGAAAGCCAGTTTGGTTATCTCCCTCTGTACTTTAAGAATCACATTTTCCAGATTATTTAGTCTTTAAAGACCAATGCAGTTAGAATACATGACTGAGCCTATAGCCCGTCTAAGTCCCCCAGCTGTGAAGTAAATGAAATAATTCCACATAATCCCCATAATATTTTGGATTCAGATAGAAGTAGATTTAATAATTTTTGTGTTTTAACTAAGAAAACCATCAAATAAATTTAATCACTGATAAATTTAGCATAGCCAGGGACAGGAGAAGATCAGGGGTGTCAAGACTCTTTTTCTATACACATTTAATGGAGCTATGTGGTCTCAGTTCCTTATATAATAACTCTGTGCAAATCAACAAAGCAGGAGACTCCAATCTGGTTCTGACAGCCCTCATTTCTCGAATATCAATTCTTTCTAGACCAACAAGCAGAAATGCAATTTTTGTTTTGATTTTGATGAAAGCTGAGCAACAAGAAAACATCTTCACTCCTTTTGTCACCTACTTTATGTAGCCTGTCTGTTTTAAGCCTGTACATCCTTTTCTGCCTCATTATCACCTACTTTAGAATGCCAGAGACTGTAAGACACAGAATCAAGACCAGGGCTCAGGAAAATGCCAGCATTGCAGAGATCACTGAGCTCTCACTAAGCCCATTTCTTAGACTCCTTTGCATTTATATGTCTCCAACACCTTTCCCTTTGCACCCACTTGTTGCAATTGAGTTTGGTAACCTTTGAAATCGTGCTTCCAAAGTTGGTGAAGCTCGAGGTAAACGTCCCTAAATTATTAATTAAAGGAAAGCTGCCTGTCAATGAAGAGCAAACATTTTGGACTTAATGTATACAATAAATGAATTGTCACGTTTGAGCCTTTAAATATTCTTTCAGGATTTGTTGGCTACAGCACCTAAGTTATCTTAACTAAACAACAAAAATCATTAGCATTTTTTTCTCACTGATATCCTGCATATTTGGAGGCCTCTCTGGAAAGTCTGTCTCTTAATTCCTTAGTTCTCTACATTAAGTTTGTCCTCTCCCATGTTTGCCTATGATCAAGACATCTAGACATCTCTTCCAATAGAAATGAATTGGATATTAAACATCTTAGACATCTCTTCCCATAAGTCCAACCTAGTTCCTCTTTCAAAACTGCCCTATCCCTGCCTTATGTCTTCATGAACTTGTTTATTTGAGAAGTATTTAGCTAATTCACTCAAATACGGAAATATCTAAATGTGAATTAAAAATTATCCCTCAAAGGCTAACACCTTTAGATTTTGAACTCCAATACACTAATTCAAGTGAATGACTAACATGAGAAATGCAAACCAAGTAACTAACTTTTGGAAGACTACAAGTTTAGGAAGATTTTTAATTCCTCATGTCACATCTTATGATGTGTTTCTTATTTTGTAGTGTGCAATGTGTGCCATGACCCCAGCAATCAGTTGGTAGTACCAGGTTAGGCTTTAAGTCCTCACTTTATTAATCATATCTTCACCAGTACCATCCTCTGGATCTGCTAACTCCATCCCCTGCGTAGTCATAAAAATTATATTCTCTTTGAGATGTTGAAGCTGGTTTTCTTCCAGTACAGCCATTAACTTCCAACCTGTTTTCTTCTCCCTCACTGACACCCTGCTGACCTATGAAGCAGCAAGCCAAAGGGATATGAAAATATCTGTTAATTTCCCTCTTGTGAATTTCCCTCTTGAAAAATCACTTAGAACATACCAAAACCTACAACAGGATAAACTGAAGCGTATACTCTCACTGAAGTTTCACCAAATAATATCTTACCCTTAAGCCTGTCTTAGTAAAGCGTGTTTGATTTACCAGAGAGATACTCAGTTGAGAAAGTCAGGTCCGTTAACACAATAGGTCAAAAGTGTTAATGTGCTTTTTAGAAAGTTTGCCCACACAGCTGCATACAAAGTGGCTGTTGCAATAGGTGATTTGCTCCACGTAGACAGCTATTCTGGATAGTGCAGCGTGAACAAAAAAAAGGAGTCTTTAAAATGTGGAAATGTCCGATGGCCTATAGTATTCTGTTTGATTGCCTACACAAGCCTAAAAACCTGGCAGCATATTGGGCTGTGTTAAATGAAGACTAGCTCAGGCTCTACTCTGTCCGTCTTAGAAGGTATTCTGGTCTGTTTCCCAGCGAGCTTGTGAAAGTGTAGGGGGCTGGGAATGCTTGCCAAATGGCCTCGTGTAATCAGAGCCCCTAATATCCAATTCATTTATATATGGCCCTCGTGCATTAGAGCAAATTGCTAAAAATGCCATAAAAAGAGTTATTGTAAGGTTATTGAGGTTCTGAGAGGTGATTGATGCCTTAATTAGGCCTGTTAATAGTCTTCATAGTGGTGTGTTGTAATAACTAAACAGTCAGGTTGGGATTTAGGGTCACTATATTAGTTTGTTGAGTGCCACTAAATGAGGTTTCCTCTTCAGAGCCAAATTATAATTTTATAGCTAACTCATAAACTTAACTCAGCTTAAATACTATTTAAAGGGCTCAGAGAGGTGCTTATTTACCAAGCGTTAAGCCACTAAGCTCTAAGCTGTAAAACTTGAAGTCCAGCTATTACAATTCTTAGTCTTGAGAATAACCACATTTTAAATAATGCTCTATATTCCATAAAACAGAAAAGGTAAATTATAATACACTAGAGAGGAAATTGCAAGTATACACACACAAGTATAAAGTAACATTCACTATTTCTATCAATTTAAAAAGAAACATTGATAATTGCTTTCAGTTCTCAGTGTTCCTATTAGGTTGAGTCTAATTCCAGTCAGTAGTGTGAGGTGGTGGCACAAATATATTTGGTTTCCAAAGCACTATAAGAAAAAATATCTTCAGTAGTTAAAATTTAATATGAGAGTCTCTACTCTTTTAAATTTATATTTATTTTTTATTATTTAATTTTATATTTGATTTATAAAGACTCCAGCATTCATCACATTATTAACAAAAAACGCATCTTTTGTATATGAAAAAATATAGCCTGCTTAAACTCTTCTCCTTTGATAGTCTAATTGAACATTCTATTTTTTAGCCTTACTCCTAAAAGATGCTTTCAATGTGACCTTACATATGCTATATCACTAATAAAAAAGCACCTGTGGATAGGTAGAACAGGAATTTCTAACCTTATTTTATAAAGAGAGACAATGAAGCACATCATTATCTGAATCAGAGTGCAAATCAATTTCTGATACCTGGATTATGTACACTAAACCTTCTGAAAACCAATTCTCGTAGTATATTGATAGAGCAAGTGAGCTAATCAGGAATATATAATTGATATAGTTTAGCTGTGTCCCCACCCAAAATCTCATCTTGATTGTAATCCCCATAATCCCCAGGTGTCAAGGGAGAGACCATGTGGAGTAGTTGAATCATGGGGGCAGTTTCCCCATGCTGTTCTCATGATAGAGAGTGAGTTCTCATGAGTTCTGATGGCTTTATAAGTGTCTGGTAACTCTCTTGCATTCATTCTTCTTCCTGCTGCCTTGTGAAGAAGGTGTCTTGCTTCACCTTCTGCCAAGATTGTAAGTTTCCTGAGGTGTCCCCAGCCATGTGGAACTGTGAGTCAATTAAACCTCTTTCCTTTCTAAGTTACCTGGTCTCAGGCAGTTCTTTACAGCAGTGTGAGAACAAACTAATACAACAATTAAAAAACAAGTTTTAGAAACATGGTCTCTCTGCTTTGAAAATGGAGGCAAGATGATAACTAGTCCCCACTCACTGATCCTCTGAGACCTAAGGTTAGACTGGTTCACGGCAGCAACTGGAGGGTAAGCATTAATGGTGTGATACAGAGGCTATGCTGGCATAAAATGTAGATGCTGGATCCAAATCAGAGGTCCAGATAAAAAAGGAGAGGAGACAATGCATAAAAAGAGGTTATAAACAACAGAAAACAAAACAAGGAACATTAAGAGAAAGTGGTTCAGAGTAAGTAGTGAGGGATGGAAAAGCTTTTGAGATAGCACACCTAAGTTTGCAGTAGAGTTTTACATAATCCTGGCACATGCCTGCAAGGACAATCTAATGTAGCACAATGGAACCTCAATGATGGCATATGACCAGACTGGTGGTTTCAGGACTGATGATTAGAATACTTTATTACTAGGATGCTTGTAGAGAAAACTAATATTGGTAATGAAAGGAAATACTCATTTGATCCAGTTATTCGGTGTCTTAAATTATTTTCTGTTACAGTAGGCAAATACCACAGACTGAGTAATTTATAAAAAATAGTTTATATAGCTCACCATTCTGGAGGCTGGAAAGTCCAAGAGCATAGTGCCAGCATCTGCTAAAGGTGTCTTTGCTACAACGTGACATGGCAAGTGTTATCACATGGCAGAGCTTGCCAGCTCAGGCCTCTTCTTTCTTTACAAAGACAATAATCCCATTGTAAGCTCCCCAACCTCATGATTTCATCTAGCAATAATTGTCTTCCAAATGCCCCACCTCCAAATACTATCAATGTATAACTCTGGAAATTAAGTTTCTAAAACATGAACTTTTGGGAGACACATTCAAATGATAGCATTTGGCAAAAATATATGCTCAGACTGCATGGACAATTTTGTTTACATACATTAAGCTCATTTTTACTCAAGTTTAGTTTAAGTCACTTGTGTGTTTAGATATTACAGAAGTCACATAAACAACTTTGGGAGAATAACTACTACTTAAAAACTGTTTATTTTCAAAGTGTGATGGATTAACTAAATTTTTCACTCATTCATTTATCAACAAATAATTACTAAGTGCTACCATCTGCCAAGCATGGTGAAATAAACATGATTACAAATGAGAGATTCATTGAGCTTGCAATCAAACCTTGAATCCAGCACTTACTTGATAAGTGGCCTTAGACTATTCTGAAGTATTTGGTATCTTACTTTCCTTATCTTTAAAACAGAAACCTTACTTACTTCATACGGTGAATTGATCATTATTTTTTAATGCGAACTGCCTAGAACACAGACTGGTCAAGTGTGAATAATTTTTTAATCTTTATTATGGAAAAGAATAAGTCATATTTCTTGCCTTCAAATAAAATATAGTTTAATGGGAAACAAAAAGTTATATAATAGAGGCACATGAAGACTTTTTTGGGGTGTAATGTAGATACGTAGTGACGTATGATACCACCAGAGGTTTCTCCCCCTTAAAAAATTGTTTTGTGATTATAGGCAATAGACTTGAGTCCTAAATGAGCCCCAAAACTTGTGTCAGCACAACATTCGAGAATAACACATTAAAGAGACACTGGAGTTGAACTACTAAACCTAGATTCTGAATCAGAAAGCAAATGTTATAATACAAAGGACAGGAACTCAGATACAAATTTCAATTCTCATTCCAAGAAGTATTTTCCAGTCAATTCGGCAAAATTTAGTAAACCACTCAGTAGTGACTTACCCAATGTTTTCTGGATATTAGTTATTCTTTTGAGATCTAATTATAGAGGCTCAATAAATGGCAACTATTATTTTACCGCATTATTTAATATAAAAATACATGACATATATGAAACCTGAACATGTCATTTCTCTGTATATATACTTCATCCTGTCTTCAATGTCTCTAAGACAAAAATGTCAATTATTAAGCATAGTCTATAAACCCCTGCCAGACCTCATCTCTGCCTTAGGCTCCAGCCTATTTTTATCACTCCTTCTTCACTTCCAGATACCCCGTGCTTTGTTCTGTCATCTTTTCATGACTTTGCCCACATGCTATGTCCTCTGATTGGAAACTACTGTTTTCCCAAACATAAAGACTCATTCATGATTTCTCTCTCCCACAAATCTTTCATTCCCCCAGCCCCTGCACAAAATGAAGTAGGTGCCCTTTTTCTCTGTTTCAAAGTGCTCAAACTCACATATGTTTTGTCATTTTTATTGCATTTGTTTCTCTACTTTTCTGTCTACTTGACTCAAATTCCTTGAGAGAAAAGACTGTCTTCTATACCTTCCTCTTGAAGACCTGGCTGTGAACTGGTCATATAAAGATTGGTCTATAAATGATTGTGAAATGAATCAATCAGTCCTTGAGAAATATAAACTGCAAGTGTGAGTAGAACCAGTCTATAAGCTTGAAAGATCCTTAAGTCACATGAGAAATTTGACGTGAGATCTGGAAAGGATCTTAAAAATCTGGAAAATTTTGCATTCAGTAAGACGTGTCTAAAGTCCTGCTATAACATGAATTTGTCTCTGGCTCTGGGGAACAAGGAGGGCTCTGAGATAAGAGGCACTTGTCTATTACCACCAACTAGTCTTTGGTGAGATACTCAGAGCATTGGCCTCTATGAATTCTTCCACACTGCAGAATCTTACTGTCAGTGGCATTTTAGCTTAACCACAAATGACATCTTTTCTAAATATAGAATCTGTTTTCCAATACATCTAACTACTTCTGATTCCAGATGTTTTTATGTACTGGAACCCTCTGGGAAAATCAAATCTGTTATGTAGGCAATAGCCTGGTTACTTAAACTTAGAAAAAGTAGTTTTTCTCTCTTCTTTTTACTTCTTGTCAAAATAATTTAATGTTTTGTTGTTGTTGTTTGAGTCTCACATAATTGCTTCTCCTCCATTTCATTTGATTGAGGAGGCCTGACCACTGGGAGTCATTATATTAACCACTCCTCCATGTAAAATAATGAACTGTTCTTGGTCAAAGCTCTTTTCATTGATAAAAACATACACTCACTCAAACTAGCTTTAGAAAAAAGAGGGAATTGATTATAAGTAATAAAGAAAGGGTAGTAAGTACAGTCAGCCTCTCAAAACACTTGGGACCTGGAAAACAAACAGGAAACAAAGCAGTCTATCTCCCTCATTTAAGAATATAGTAGGCTGCATAAATATCTTCCTATGAGAAGTGTCTGTTCATATCCTTTGCCTACTTTTTGATGGGGTTGTTTGTTTTTTCTTGTAAATTTGTTTAAGTTCCTTGTAGATTCTGGATATTAGCCCTTTGTCAGATGGATAGATTGTAAAAATTTTCTCCCATTCTGTAGGTTTCCTGTTCACTCTGATGATAGTTCCTTTTGTTGCGCAGAAGCTCTTTAATTTAATTAGACCCCATTTGTCAATTTTGGCTTTTGTTTTCATTGCTTTTGGTGTTTTAGTCATGAAGTCTTTGCCCATGCCGATGTCCTGAATGGCATTGCCTACATTTTCTTCTAGGGTTTGTATGGTTTTAGGTCTTACATTTAAGTCTTTAATCCATCTTGAGTTAATTTTTGTATAAGGTGTAAGGAAGGGGTCCAGTTTCAGTTTTCTGCATATGGCTAGCCAGTTTTCCTAACACCATTTATTAAATAGGGAATCCTTTCCTCATTGCTTGTTTTTGTCAGGTTTGCCAAAGATCAGATGGTTGTAGATGTGTGGTGTTATTTCTGAAGCCTCCATTCTTTTCCACTGATCTATATATCTGTTTTGGTACCAGTACCATGCTGTTTTGGTTAGTGTAGCCTTGTAGTATAGTTTGAAGTCAGCATGATGCCTTCAGCTTTGTTGTTTTTGCTTAGGAGTGTCTTGGCTATAGATTCAATGCTATTCCCATATTCATTCTACTATAAAGACACATGCATACATATGTTTATTGCAGCACTGTTTACAATAGCAAAGACTTGGAACCAACCCAAATGCCCACCAGTAATAGACTGGTTAAAGAAAATGTGGCACATATACACCATGGAATACTCTGCAGCCATAAAAATAATGAGTTCATATCCTTTGCAGGGACATGGATAAAGCTGGAAACTATCATTCTAAGTGAACTAACACAGGAACAGAAAAGTCTTTTTTGGTTCCATGAAATTTAAAGTAGTTTTTTCCAATTCTGTGAAGAAAGTCAGTGGTAGCTTGATGGGAATAGCATTGAATCTTTGAATTACTTTGGGCAGCATGGCCATTTTCACGATACTGATTCTTCCTATCCATGAGCGTGGAATGGTTTTCCATTTGTTTGTGTCCTCTCTTATTTCCTTTGAGCAGTGGTTTATAGTTGTCTTTGAAGAGGTCCTTCACATCCCTTGTAAGTTGTATTCTTGGTATTTTATTCTCTTTGTAGCAATCGTGCATGGAGGTCCACTCACTATTTGACTCTCTTTTTGTCTATTATTGGCATATAGGAATGCTTGTGATTTTTGTACATTGATTTTGTATCCTGAGACTTTCCTGAAGTTGCTTATCAGCTTAAGAAGATTTTGGGCTGAGACGATGGGGTTTTCTAAATATACAGTCATGTCATCTGCAAACAGACAATTTGACTACCTTTCTTCCTATTTGAATGCCCTTTATTTCTTTCTCTTGCCTGATTGCCCTGGCCAGAACTTCCAATACTGTGTTGAATAAGAGTGATGAGAGAGGGCATGCTTGTATTGTGCCAGTTTTCAAAGAGAATGCTTCCAGCTTTTGCCTATTCAGTAAGACATTGGCTGTGGGTTTGTCATAAATGGCTCTTATTATTTGAGATATGTTCCATCAATACCTAGTTTATTGAGTGATTCCTCAAGGATCTAGAACCAGAAATACCATTTGACTCAGCAATCCCATTACTGACTATATAACCAAAGGATTATAAATCATTCTACTATAAAGACACATGCATACATATGTTTATTGCAGCACTGTTTACAATAGCAAAGACTTGGAACCAACCCAAATGCCCATCAATGATAGACTGGATAAAGAAAACGTGGCACACATACACCATGGAATACTCTGCAGCCATAAAAATAATGAGTTCATGTCCTTTGGAGGGACACGGGTAAAGCTGGAAACCATCATTCTCCGCAAACTAACACAGGAACAGAAAACCAAACACGGCATGTTCTCACTTATAAGTGAGAGTTGAACAATGAGAACTCATGGACACAGGGAGAGGAATATCACACACCAGGGCCTGTTGGGGGTAGGGGACAAGGAGGGGGGATAGCATTAGGAGAAATACCTAATGTAGATGACAGGTTGATTGGTGCAGCAAAAACACCATGGCACATGTATACCTATGTAACAAACCTGCACATTCTGCACATGTATCCCAGAACTTAAAGTATAATAAAAAAAGAATATAGTAATAGGTATTTCACTCTATGTATAGACATTTCATTAATTCTTTCTTAGCCACTGCCATTTCCTCCTTCTCCATAAAGTGGCAGAATGGGATTGCTTTATATCTCATCAGTTTGCATATCTTCCCAGTTTGAATTGTGAAATGAAACTAACTACATAAAATTTTTCTTTTTTCTTTTTTTTTGAGACAAGGTCTCACTCTGTTGCCCAGGCTGGAGCGCAGTGGCATGATCTCAGTTCACTGCAACTTCTGTCCCCTGGGATCAAGTAATTCTTTGACGTTAGCCTCCTAAGTAGCTGGACTACAGGTGCACGCCACCGTGCCCAGCTAACTTCTCAATCCCAGTTCCACATGCTTGCAAGAAAGAAATTAGCCTGAATGGGTCAGTTGTCCATCTTAATTAACTGTAACTATAGGATGACCATTGCCATGGATGGCCCAGGACATGGCAAGGCTAGCCCTGCTCATATATGAAGACACATTGTGTATATTTTGTAGGATAGATCCAACTGGAACATCTGACTACCACATAGAACAGTATTTCCATCCAACATCAATTGGTGGTTTGTTTTCTGTACTTGCTCTGTACCAGTAGAGATATTTACAACCATGTATCAAGTACAGTTCCTAATGTTCAAGAGCAGCACATGACAATCACATGCTTAGTCTCTATGACTTAGTACTGAAAATTGTAAGTGAGGCAAATTCCCTTCCTCTTCTTGGCCAATGCTTTAAAAGACTATCTCACTATGTCCTACTCAATGACATAATCTTGTAATAAACAGTTAAAATATAATAAATCCTCCCAGTACTACTTTGTTTTTTTCCTTTGAATATATATTCTAGAACCCTCCTCAAGACAAAGGCTATTTTTTATTTTAAAAAAAGAAAAACGTTTCTTGATCTCTGGTGATATGCCAAACCTTGTTCTACATACTTTATTTGTAATCAACATACTTAATCTCCATAACAATCTAAGTTATATATAATTATGTATGATTTTATAGGTGAGAAAAAAGGTTCAAAGCTTTAAGTATTATACTTTGTGCAAAGCATACAGCTAGCTAAGGGAAAAGTAAAAATTGAAACTGAGGATGAATTTGAGGCTACCACAGCCTATTTCTGCATTGACTTTTATTAGTCATCTTTGACTTCCTAACACTTCCTAACACTTCCTAACTTCCTAACATCTTTTACTTCCTGACACTTACTGATAAGTGAAGTGTGTATGGTAGAATTTTCTCTAACTGACCTCCTTTAGCCAGTTCACTATGTTAGATCTTTTTCATGTCTTGATAAGACATGAAAAACATTGGTAAGTGCCTTTGTGTTTCTCTTTCCAGTATTTGATATGTTCACTCTTTATGCCTGTTTGAACTTGCAATTTAATAACATAATATTAAATAGGATATTAAATAGGACTGATTAAACAGAATCATGAAAACAGTTATTTCTATAAAAAGCGTTTTAAGTGTTTTGCAAGAATTTGAGATGAGCCACCATAATTATTGCCTTTTTAAGTAGGATTGCAAAAATGTTATGAAAATTAGAAAAAATTAATTTCACAGAATGATGGGCAAGGGATAATTAACAAGTACTGTTAAGTGCTTGTTTCACTTTACAGATTTTATGACTGGATGGTTTAGGTGATGCATTATTGATATGATTATGCAAAAAGGTTTATTCCAATCAATGGAGAAATATTTAAAGTCTACATAAAAATTGTCAAATAAATACGTATTTATATGTTGTAGGCTAAAGTAAGATGTTTCAGCAGACGTGTAACTATTTTTAAATTCCACTTTCTAATTTTTATTAGTGATGCATGATACATGTACATAGTTTTGGTGTACATGTGATGATTTGACACATGCATATAATTTGTAAAGATCAGATCAGTGAACTTGGGATATCTATCACCTGAAATACTTTTATATTCCTTATGCTATAACCATTCAAATTCTTCTTTTCTAGCTATTTTGAAAAGTACAATAGATTACTGTAAACTATAGCCACCCTACTGATCTAACACAAGATGTTATTTTTTCTATCAAATCATGTATTTCTACCCATTGATCAACTTTTTTTTATCCTCCTATTGCCTCCACTTCCTAGCCTCTGATAACCACCAACCTACTCTCTATGTAAGAGAGCTACTTTTTTAGCTTCCATATGTGAATAGGAATATGCAATGTTTGTCTCTTTGTGCTTGGGTTTATTTTACTTAGCATCCAGTTCCATCCATGTTTCTGCAAATAACAGGATTTTATTATTTTTTGTGGAAGAATAGTATTTAATTGTACATATGTATTGTATATATTTATATTTTTTATAAATTTATTTTGTATATAAGTATATACCATGTTTTCTTTATCCATTCCTCCTTTGATAGGCAGTTAGGCTGATTCTACAATTTGGCTATTGTGATTAGTGTTGCAGTAAGCATGAGAGTGTAGACATCTCTTCAATATATTGATTTTCTTTCTTTTGGATATATAGCCAGTAGTGGAATTGCTGGATCATATGATAGTTCAATTTTTTTTTTTTTTGAGGGAAAACTATACTGTTCTCCATAGTGGTTGTACTAATTTACATACCCACCAACATTGTGCAAGGATTCTCATTTCTCCTCATTCTCATCAGCATCTGTTATTGCCTATTATTTTTATAAAAGCCATATTAACTAAGGTGAGATGATATTTCATTGTGGTTTTGATTTGCATTTGTCTGATGATTAGTGATGTTGAATATTTCTTTTCACATACCTGTTGGCCATTTGTATCTCTTTTTTTGAGAAATGCCTTAGACCTTTTCTTCATTTTAAAAATACAATTATTTGTTTTTGCTATTGAGTTGAGTTCCTTGTAGATGTTGGTTATTAATTTCTTGTCAGATGCATAGTTTGCAAATATTTTGTCCCATTCCGTGGGTTGTCTCTTCACTTTGTTAATTGTTTCCTTTGTTGTCCAGGAAAGCTTTAGCTTGATTTGTTTCTGTTTGTCTATTTTTGCTTTTGGTTGCCTATGATTTTGAAGTCATACACAAAAAAATCTTTGCCTAGACCAACTTCCTGGGAAAAGACAAAAAACCATTTCCCCAAAGTTTTCTTCTAGTAGTTTCATAGTTTGAGGTCTTAGATTTAAGTCTTTAATCCATATTGATTTGATTTTTGTGTATGATCAGAGATAGGGGTCTAGTTTCATTCTTCTGCATAGTTATCCAGGTTTTCTAGCACCATTAATTGAATAAACTGTTCTTTCCCCATTTTATATCCTTGAAATCTTTGTCAAACAGGAGTTGGCCATAAATATGTGGATTTTTATCTAAGTTATCTATTCTTTGTTTCTAAATCAAAAGCAATACTGAATACCTGGAGGGATTACAGACATTAATGCCACCATCAAGGACTTGAAAGATAAGATGATGATTTGTACTTATCCCCATTCAACTCATCTATTTGGCCTATCCAGAAAGCAGATGGAACTTGGAGAATGACAGTGAGAAATAATAAGCTTAACTAAGCATTGATGCCAATTGCATCTACTGTCCCAGATGTGGTTTTATTGCTTGAGCAAATTAACACATCCCCTGGTATCTGGTATATAGCTATTAACATGGAAAATGCTTTTTTTCTTAATATTTGTTAATAAAGGCCACCAGAAGAAGTGTGCTTTCAGTTGGCAAGGCCAGCAATACATCTTCACTGTCCTCCCTCAAGGGTATATCAATGCTCCAGCCCTATGTCATTATATGGTATTCAGGGAATTTGATCTTTTTTTCTTTCCACAAGACAAAATGCTGGACTATTATATATATGACACTAGCTTATTTCACTTAGTGAGCAAGAAATAGCTATTACTCTAGACTTACTGATAAAATATTTGCATGTGAGATGTTGAAAAATAAAATTGGCAAAAATTCAGGGGCTTTTTTTTCAGTGAAGTTTCTAGAAGACTACTGTGTTAGGCAGGGTGGAATAAGGCAAATGATAAATTGTTGTATCTACACCCTTCTACAAGCATAAAAGAGGTATAGTATCTAGTGGGTCTCTTTGAATTTTGAAAGCAATATTTTCCTCATTTGGCTAGGTTACTCTGGCCCATTTACCAAGTGATCCAAAAAACTGTTAGTTTTAAGTGGAGCACACAATAGAAGAAGGTTCTGCAACAGGTCTAGGCTACTGTGCAAGCTGCTCTGCCACTTAGGCCATATGATCCAGCAGATCCAAAGGGGTGTGAAGTGTCACTGGCAGAGAGAGGTGCTATTTGGACTCCTTAGCACGTTACTATAGTGCATAATAGTGCAGATCCTTACGATTTTGGAGCAAATCTGCATCATATTCAGTGAATAACTCATCTCTTTTTTAGTAGAAGATTTTTATTTGCTACTGAACCTTAGTAGAGACTGAACGCAATCATTGGCCACCAAGTTACCATGTAACCTGTACTACCCATTGTGAACTAGTGGTTGTCTGACTCATCAAGCTATAAAGTTGGGTGTCTGGAAGCAGCACTCTATCTTCAAATGGAAGCAGTATTCATGAGATTGGCCCCTAGTAGGCCCTAAAGGCTCAGGTAAGTTACATGAGAAGCGGGCCCAGGGCTCCTACTCCTGCTGCATTACCTTCTTTCATCCATCCCACACCTCTCATTTCCTTGGGAACTCTCTATAATCAGTTAACTGAAGAAGAGAAAGCTTTGGCCTGGTTTACAGATCACTCTGCATGATATACAGGCACCACCTGGGAGTAAGCAGCTGAAGAACCATAGCTCCTTTTTGGGACTTTCCTGAAAAACAATGGTGAAGGGAAATTCTCCCAGTGTGCAAAACTTTGGTTTATCTTGCTTGGAGGGAGAAATGGCCAGAGGTACAAGTCTATATTAATTCCTAGGCTGCAACCAATTGTTTGGCTGGATGGTCAAGAATTTGGAAGGAAAATGATTAGATAAGTACTGAAAGGGAAGTCTGGGGAAGAGGTATATGGCTAAGCCTTTTTGAATAGGAGAAACATGGAAATATTTGTATTTCACCTGAATGCTCACCAAAGAATAATCTGAGCAGAGGAAGAATTTAATTAACAAGTAGTTAGGATGACCCATTCTGTCGATAGCAGTTAGCATTTTTTCCCAGTCATCCCCATCTGTCATTGCTCAATGAATCCACGAACAAAGTGCCCAATTTGTCCAAATGGCAGAGATGAAGGGCGTACATCGGCTCAGCAATGTGGACTGTCATTCACCAATGCTCATCTAGGTATAGCTAATGCTGTGTGTCCAATCTGCTGGCAACACAGCGCAACATGTGGTTTCTCATACGACGTGATTCTTTGGAGTGATTAGTCAGTCACATAGTGGCAGATTGATTATATTGGATTGTTTCCATCATATAAAATTGAGCATTTCATGGCAAACAAAGTGTGGAATGAGCCCATGCTCGTGGGGGTGGTGCCACTCACTTTTTTTTTTTTTTTTTTCTTGAGACAAAGTTTGGGTCTGTTGTGAGACCAGAGTGCGGTGGCACAATCTCAGCTCACTGCAAACTCTGCCTCCCGGGTTCAAGCAATTTTTCTAGCTCAGCCTCCTGAGTAGCTGAGGTTACAGGCGTGCACCACCACGCCCGTCTAATTTTTGTATTTTTAGTACAGACAGGGCTTCACCATGTTGATCAGGCTTGTCTTGAACTCCTGACCTCGTGATCCTCCTGCCTCAGCCTCCCAAAATGGAAAAATGCTGGGATTACAGGCATGAGCCACCACACCCAGCCACCACTCACTATTACTTTTAGTAATCAACTAGCAATTTTATTGGGTTGGTACAAAAGTAACTGTGGTTTTAGACTGTGAATTTTAAATCATTACAACTAGGCTCAAACAAATCTTTTGTAATCAAAATAGGAAGCATTACAATCAACACATTTTTGCCAAGGAGAAATGCTTGTTTTTTTCTTATAGCATAAAAATCCATGTTTTAGGATTCAGCAAACTCTCGAAAAGCATTTTCTGCATCCTGCTGGTTGCAGAAGCATTTTTCCTGCCAAAAGTTTTCAAGATGCTTGAAGAAGTGGTCGTTGGTTGGCGAGAGGTCAGGTGAATATGGTGGATGAGGCAAAACTTCATAGCCCAATTTGTTCAACTTTTGAAGTGTTGGTTGTGCAACGTGCAGTCAGGCATTGTTGTGGAGAAGAATCAGGCCCTTTCTGTTGACCAAGGCCAGCTGCAGACATTGCAGTTTTCTGTGTATCTCATCGATTTGCTGAGCATACTTCTCAGATGTAATGGTTTTGCTAAGATTCAGAAAGCTGTAGTGGATCAGACCGGCAGCAGACCACCAGTGACCATGATGCTTTTTTGGTGCAAGTTTGGCTTTGGGAAAGTACTTTTAGGCTTCTTCTTGTTCTAACTACTGAGCTGGTTGTCACTAGTTGTTGTATAAAATACACTTTTCCTCCCACGTCACAATCCGATTGAGAAATGGTTCATTGTCATTGCATGGAATAAGAGAAGATGCCACTTCAAAGCAATGATTTTTTTTTAAATGTTCATCCTGCTTATGAGGCACCTATTTATCGAGCTTTTTCACCTTTCCAGTTTGCTTCAAATACCAAGTAACCGTAGAATGGTTGATGTTGAGTTCTTTGGCAACTTCTCATGCAGTTGTAAGAGGATGAGCTTCAAAGATTGCTCTCAATTGGTCATTAACTTCCAATGGCCGGCCACTACACTCCTCATCTTCAAGGCTATTGTCTCCTTTGCAAAACTTCTTGAACCACCGTTACACTGTACATTTGTTGGCAGTTCCTGGGCCAAATGCATTGTTGATGTTGTGAGTTGTCCCTGCTGTTTTATGACCCATTTTGAACTCAAAAAAGAAAACTGCTCAAATTTGCTTTCTGTCTAACATCATTTCCGTAGTCTAAAATAAATGTAAAATAAACAGCAAGTACTAAGTCATTAGCAAAAAAAATAAAGCGAGAAATGCGCATTCATGTATAACATGACCACGTTTATTTAAGAATGTATTTCTTTTTGTTTGATTGTTTGTTTGAGACGGAGTCTTGCTCTCTTGCCCAGGCTGGAGTGCAGTGGCGTGATCTCTGCTCACTGCAAGCTCCGCCTCCCAGGTTCATGCCATTCTCTTGCCTCAGCCTCCTGAGTAGCTGGAACTACAGGTGCCCGCCACCACGCCCAGCTAATTTTTTTGTATTTTTAGTAGAGACGGGTTTTCACCGTGTTTGCCAGGATGGTCTCGATCTCCTGACCTTGTGATCTGCCCGCCTCGGCCTCCCAAAGTGCTGGGATTACAGGCGTGAGCCACCGCACCCGGCCAGGAATGTATTTCAGTATCAAATGGCAAATTTCAATAATGCAAAAGTATTTACTTTTGCATCAATTATAATTATATATTATAATTTTATATTACAGATTTCATTGCTTAGAACAATTTTAGGTTCACAGAAAAATTGAGTAGAAGGTACTGAGATTTCCAACATAGCCTGTTATTGTTAATTTTTTTTGCCAACTTGAGTGAGCTAAAGGACGTCTAGATAGAAAGTAAAACATTTCTAGATTTACCTGTGAGGTTGTTTCTAGCAGAGGTTGACATTTAAGCCTGGGTGCGGTGGTTCACACCTGTAATTCCAGCACTTTGGGAGGCCGAGGCAGCCAGGTCACCTGAGGTTGGGAGTTTGAGACCAGCCTGACCAACATGGAGAAAGCCTGCCTCTACTAAAAATACAAAATTAGCTGAGCGTGGTGGCACATGCCTGTAATCTCAGCTACTCGTGAGGCTGAGGCAGGAGAATCACTTGAACCCAGGAGGCAGAGGTTGCAGTGAGCCAAGATCATGCTGTTGCACTCCAGCCCGGGCAACAAGAGTGAAACTCCATCTCAAAAAAAAAAAAAAAAATGATATCAATAGACTGTTTAAAGAAGGTCTGCTTTCATCAGTATGGGAAGGCATCATCCCATCCATTGAGAATCTGAATTGAACGTAAAGGCAGAAGAAGAGCAAATTCTCTCTCTCTTCTTAAGCTAAGCATGCATTGTTTATTGACTTTGGACATCAAAACTCCTGATTCCCAGATCTTTAGATTCCGGGTCTTATACCTCCTGGTTCTCAGACCTTATGCCTTGGACTGGGAGTTATATCATCGGCTCCTATCTGGTTCTCAGGCCTTCAGAATTGGACTGAATTATACCACTAGATTTCCTGGTTTTCCACCTTGCAGAGAACATGTCATGGGAAATCTTGGCACTCATAATTGAGCCAATTCTCATAATAAATCTCCTCTTATTTATCTGTATATATCCCACTGCTTCTGTTTCTCTGGAGACCCATGGCTAATACATATCTCCTACTCCCAAACATGCATAGCTTCACCCATTACCAACATTACCCACCAGAGTAGTACATTTGTTGCAATCTTTGAATCTACATTAACTCAGTATTATCACCCAAAGTCCACAATTTACATTAAGGTTCAATCTTGGTGTTATATATGGTATGGATTTGGACAAATATATAATGACATGTATCTACCATTGTAGTACTATACAGAATAGTTTTACTGCCCTAAAAATCCTCTGTGAACCATCTATTTATTCCTTCCTGTTCCCTCATCCCTGCAACTACTGATCTTTTAGCTATCTACATAGTTTTGCCTTCTAGAATGTCATATAGTTGGAATCACACAGTACATAGCCTTTTCGGATTGGTTTCTTTTACTAATATGCCTTTGGGTTTCTTCCATATTTTTATTTCTCAATACTTAATTTGTTTTTAGCACTAAATAATATTTTGTCATCTGGATGTATCATAGTTATTCATCTACTTAAGGACATCTTGGTTGCTTCCATGTTTTTGCAATTATGAGTAAAGGTGCTGTAAACATTCAAGCACAGGTTTTTGTGTGGTCATAAATTTTCCGTTACTTTGGATATATACTAAGGAGTAAGATTGCTAGATTGTATGATAAGAATATGTTTAGTTTTGTAAGAAATTGCCAACATATCATCCAAAGTGGCTGTACCATTGTGCATTCTCACCAGTAATGAATGAGAGTTAGGGTTGCTCTACATCTTAACCAACATCTAGTGTTGGTGTTCTGGATTTTGCTAAGCTAATCCAGATGTAAACTGGTATCATATGGTTTAACTTGCATTTCCCTCATGAAATATGTTGTGGAACATCTCCTTATGTGCTTATTTGCCATTTGTGTATCTTCTTTGGTGAGATGTCTGTCAAGGTTGTTAGCAATTTTTAAATTAAGTTTTCTTATTGTTGAGTTTTAGGAGTTCTGGCATATTTGGAATAACAGTCCTTTAAGGTTATGTCTTTTGCAAACATTTTCCCCACTCTGTGACTTGTCTTTTCATTCTCCTTAGACTTTTTACAGAGAGTCAAAATTTGTAATTTTGATTAAGTCCAGCTTAATAATTCAATATTTTGATCTTTAGTGTCATATCTGAAAAATCATTGTCAAACCCAAGGCCTTCTAGATTTTCTTCCATATTATCTTCTAGGAATTTTATAGTTTTGTGTTTTACAATTTAGTTCTGAGATATACTTTGAGTCAGTTTTTGTCAAGGGTGTAAAGTTTGTATTTAGATTTTTTATGTCGATGTGAGGTTATTTTATTACCATTTTTTGAAAACACTCCTTGCTCCATTGTGTTGTTTTTGCTCCATTGTCAAATATCAGTTGACCATATCAATCTATTTCTGGGGTCCCTATTCTGTTCCACTGATTTATTTGCCTATTATTTCACCAGTTCCACACTGTCTGGATTACTGCAGCTTTATATAAAGTCTTAAAGTTGGATATTGTACATTCTCGGACTTTGTTCTTCTTCAATATTTGGTTGGTTATTACGTGGGGTTTCTTTTTTGCCTCTCCATATAAACTTTAAAGTCACTTTGCTGATGGCCACAAAACAGCTGTTAGGATTTTTATTGGAATTACATTGAATTTATACATTAAATAGGAAATAGCTGACATCATGACAATATTGAGTCTTCCTAATTATGAACAAGAAAGATCCTTCTATTTATTTTGTTCTTTATTTCTTCTTCAGAATTTTATAGTTTTCCTCCTTTAGATTTTATACATTTTTATATTTATACCTAAGTATTTTATTTTAGGGGTGCTAATGTAAGTGGTAATAATTTTTTACTATACTTTAAGTTCTAGGGTATATGTGCACAATGTGCAGGTTTGTTACATAGGTATACATGTGCCATGTTGTTTTGCTGCACCCATCAACTTGTCATTTACATTAGGTATTTCTCCTAATGCTCTCCCTCCCTCAGCCCCTCACCCCCTAACAGGCCCCGGTGTGTGATGTTGCCCTCCCTGGGTCCAAGTGTTCTCATTGTTCAGTTCCCACCTATGAGTGAGAACATGCAGTGTTTGGTTTTCTGTCCTTGTGATAGTTTGCTGAGAACGATGGTTTCCAGCTTCATCTTTTTTATGATTGCATAATATTCCATGGTGTATATGTGCCACATTTTCTTAATCCAGTCTATCATTGATGGACATTTGGGTTGGTTCCAAGTCTTTGCTCTTGTGAATAGTGCCACAATACACATACGTGTGCAAGTGTCTTTATAGCAGCATGATTTATAATCCTTTGGGTATATACCCAGTAATGGGATTGCTGGGTCAAATGGTGTTTCTAGTTCAAAATTCCTGAGGAATTTCCACCCTGTCTTCCACAATGGGTGAACTACTTTACACTCCCACCAACAGTGTAAAAGCATTCCTATTTCTCCACATCCTCTCCAGCATCTGTTGTTTCCTAACTTTTTAATGATCACCATTCTAACTGACATGAGATAGTGTCTCATTGTGGTTTTGATTTTCATTTCTCTGATGACCAGTGATCATGAGCATTTTTTTTATGTATCTGTTGGCGGCATAAATGTCTTTTTTGAGAAGTGTCTGTTCATAAACTTGGCCCACTTTTTGATGGGGTTGTTTTTTCTTGTAAATTTGTTTAAGTTCTTTGTAAATTCTGGCTATTAGCCCTCTGTCAGATGGGTAGATTGCAAAAATCTTCTCCCATTCTGTAGGTTGCCTGTTCACTCTGATGGTAGTTTCTTTTGCTGTGCAGAAGCTCTTTAGATTAATTAGGTGCCATTTGTCTACTTTGGCTTTTTTTTTTTTTTTTTTGCCATTGCTTTTAGTGCTTTAGTCATGAAGTTCTTGCCCATGCTTATGTCCTGAATAGTATTGCCTAGGTTTTCTTCTAGGGTTTTTATGGTTTTAGGTCTAACATTTAAGTCTTTAATCCATCTTGAATTAGTTTTTGTATAAGGTGTAAGGAAGGGATCCAGTTTCAGCTTTCTGCATATGGCTAGCCAGTTTCCCCAGCGCATTTATTGAATAGGGTGTCCTTTCCTCATTTCTTGTTTTTGTCAGTTTTGTCAAAGATCAGATGGTATTATTTCTGAGGGCTCTGTTCTGTTCCATTGGTCTGTATCTCTGTTTTGGTAACAGTACCATGCTGTTTTGGTTACTGTAGCCTTGTTGTATAGTTTGAAGTCAGGTAGCATGATGCCTCCAGCTTTGTCTTTTTGCTTAGGATTGACTTGGCAATGTGGGCTCTTTTTTGGTTCCATATGAACTTAAAGGTAGTTTTTTTCCAATAATGTAAAGAAAGTCATTGGTAACTTGATGGGGATGGCACTGAATCTGTAAATTACCTTGGGCAGTATGGCAATTTTCATGATATTGATTCTTCCTATCCATGAGCATGGAATGTTCTTCCATTTGTTTGTGTCCTCTTTTATTTCACTGAGCAGTGGTTTGTAGTTCTCCTTGAAGAGGTCCTTCACATCCCTTGTAAGTTGGATTCCTAGGTATTTTATTCTCTTTGTAGCAGTTGTAAATGGGAGTACACTCTGATTTGCCTCTCTATTTGTCTTTTATTGTTGTATAAGAATGCTTGTGATTTTTTCACATTGATTTTGTATCCTGAGACTTTGCTGAAGTTGTTTATCAGCTTAAAGAGATTTTGGGCTGAGACGATGGGGTTTTCTAAGTATACAGTCATGTCATCTGCAAACAGGGACAATTTGACTTCCTCTTTTCCTAATTGAATGCCCTTTATTTATTTCTCTTGCCTGATTGCCCTGGCCAGAATTTTTAACACTGTGTTGAATAGGAGTGGTGAGAGAGGGCATCCTTGTCTTGTGCCGGCTTTCAAAGGGAATGCTTCTAGTTTTTGCCCATTCAGTATGACATTGGCTGTGGGTTTGTCACAGATAGCTCTTATTATTTTGAGATATGTTCCATCAATACCTAATTTATTGAGAGTTTTTAGCATGAAGCGCTGTTGAATTTTGTCAAAGGCCTTTTCTGCATCTATTGAGATAATCATGTGGTTTTGTCATTGGTTCTGTTTATGTGATGGATTACGTTTATTGATTTGCATATGTTGAACCAGCCTTTGTATTCCAGGGATGAAGCCAACTTGATCATGGTGGATAAGCTTTTTGATGTGCTGCTGGATTCGGTTTGCCAGTATTTTATTGACAATTTTCGCATCAGTGTTCATCAGGGATATTGGTCTAAAATTCTCCCTTTTTTGTGTCTCTGCCAGGCATTGGTATCAGGATGATCCTGGCCTCATAAAATGAGTTAGGGAGGATTCCCTCTTTTTCTATTGATTGAAATAGTTTCGGAAGAAATAGTACCAGCTCCTCGTTGTACCTCTGGTAGAATTTGGCTGTGAATCCATCTGGTCTTGGACTCTTTTTGGTTGGTAGGCTATTAATTAGTGCCTCAATTTCAGAGCCTGTTATTGGTCTAGTCAGAGATTCAACTTCTTACTGGTTTAGCCTTGGGATGGTGTATGTGTCCAGGAATTTATCCATTTCTTCTAGATTTTTTAGTTTATTTGCATAGAGGTGTTTATTCTCTGATGGTAGTTTGTATTTCTGTGGGATCGGTGGTGATATCCCCTTTATCATTTTTTTAATTGAGCCTATTTGATTCTGCTCTCTATTCTTCTTTGTCTTGCTAGCGGCCTATCAATTTTGTTGATCTTTTCAAAAACCAGCTCTTGCATTCATTGATTTTTGAAAGGTTTTTTTTTTCTCTATCTCCTTCAGTTGTGTTCTGATCTTAGTTATTTCTTTCCTTCTGCTAGCTTTTGAATGTGTTTGCTCTTGCTTCTCTAGTTCTTTTAATTGTGATGTTGGGGTGTCAATTTTAGATCTTTCCTGCTTTCTCTTGTGGGCATTTAGTGCTATAAATTTCCCTCTACACACTGCTTTAAATGTGTCCCAGAGATTCTGGTACATTGTGTCTTTGTTCTTATTGGTTTCAAAGTACATCTTTATTTCTGCCTTCATTTCGTTATTTACTCAGTAGTCATTCAGGAGCAGGTTGTTTAGTTTCCATGTAGTTCTGCGATTTTGAATGAGTTTCTTAATCCTGAGTTCTAGTTTGATTTCACTGGTCTGAGAGACAGTTTGTTGTGATTTCTGTTCTTTTACATTTGCTGAGGGTGCTTTATTTCCAATTATGTGGTCAATTTTAAAATAAGTGCGATGTGGTTCTGAGAAGAATGTATATTCTGTTGATTTGGTGTGGAGAGTTCTGTAGATGCCTATTAGGTCCACTTGGTGCAGAGCTGAGTTCAAGTCCTAGATATCCTTGTTAACCTTCTAACATTGATCTGTCTAATGTTGACAGTGGGGTGTTAAAGTCTCCCATTATTATTGTGTGGGAGTCTAAGTCTCTTTGTAGGTCTCCAAGGACTTGCTTTATGAATCTGGGTACTCCTGTATTGGGTGCATATATATTTAGGATAGTTAGCTCTTCTTGTTGAATTGATCCCTTTACCATTATGTAATGGCCTTCATTGTCTCTTTTGATCTTTGTTGGTTTGAAGTCTATTTTATCAGAGACTAGAATTGCAACCCCTGCTTTTTTATTGATTTTCATTTGCTTGGTAGACCTTCCTCCATCCCTTTATTTTGAGCCTATGTGTGTCTCTGCACTTGAGATGTGTCTCCTGAATACAGCACACCAATGGACTTTGACTCTTTATCCAGTTTGCCAGTCTGTATCTTTTAATTGGGACATTAATCCCATTTACATTTAAGGTTAATACTGTCATGTGTGAATTTGATCCTGTCATTATGATGTTAGCTGGTTATTTTGCTCATTAGTTGATGCAGTTTCTTCCTAGCATCAGTGGTCTTTACAATTTAGCATTTTTTGCAGTGGCTGGTACCAGTTGTTCCTTTCTATGTGTAGTACTTCCTTCAGGAGTTCTTGTAAGGCGGGCCTGGTGGTGACAAAATCTCTCAGCATTTGCTTGTCTGTAAAGGATTTTATTTCTCCTTCACTTATGAAGCTTAGTTTGGCTGGATATGAAATTCTGCGTTGGAAATACTTTAAGAATATTAAATATTAGCCCCCACTGTCTTCTGGCTTGTAGGGTTTCTGCCAGGAGAACCGCTGTTAGTCTGATGGGCTTCCCTTTGTGGGTAACCTGACCTTTCTCTCTGGCTGCCCTTAACATTTTTTCCATCATTTCAACCTTGGTGAATCTGACAGTTATGAGTCTTGGGGATTTTCTTCTCGAGGAGTATATTCGTAGTGTTCTCTGTATTTCCTGAATTTGTATGTGGGCCTGCCTTGCTAGGTTGGGGAATTTCTCCTGGATAATATCCTGAAGAGTGTTTTCCAACTTGGTTCCATTCTCCCCATCACTTGTAGGTACACCAATCAAATGTAGATTTGGTCTTTTCACATAGTCCCATATTTCTTGGAGGCTTTATTCATTTTGTTTTACTCTTTTTTTCTAAACCCGTCTTCTCACTGTATTTCATTAATTTGTTCTTCAATCACTGATACCCTTTCTTCCACTTGATTGACTTGGCTATTGAAGCTTGTGCATGTGTCACGAAATTCTTACGTATGCCACGGTTTTCAGCTACATCAGGTCATTTACAGTCTTCTCTATACTGTTTATTCTAGTTAGCCATTCATCTAACCTTTTTTCAAGGTTTTTAGCTTCCTTGCTATGGGTTAGAACATGCTCCTTTAGCTCAGAGTAGTTTATTATTACTGACCTTCTGAAGCCAACTTCTGTCAGCTCATCAAAGTCATTCTCCGTCCAGGTTTGTTCCATTGCTGGCGAGGAGCTGTGATCATTTGGAGGAGAAAAGGCACTCTGGTGTTTAGAATTTTCAGCTTTTCTACTCTGGTTTCTCCCCATCTTTGTGGTTTTGTCTACCTTTGGTCTTTGATGTTGGTGACCTACAGATGGGGTTTTGGTGTGGATGTCCTTTTTATTGATGTTGATGCTATTCCTTTCTGTTTGTTGGTTTTCCTTCTAACAGTCAGTCCCTCAGCTGCAGGTCTGTTGGAGTTTGCTGGAAGTCCACTCCAGACCCTGTTTGTCTGGGTATCACCGCACAGGGTGCTGAACTGCAAATATTGCTGCCTGATCCTTCCTCTGGAAGCTTCGTCCCAGAAGGGCACCCACCTGTAGGAGGTGTCAGTCGGCCCCTACTGGGAGGTGTCTCCCACTTAGGCTATACGGGGGTCAGGGACCTACTTGAGGAGTCAGTCTGTCCATTCTCAGAGCTCAAACACCATGCTGTGAGAACCACTGCTCTCTTAAGAGCTGTCAGGCAGGGATGTTTAAGTATGCAGAAGTTTCTGCTGCCTTTTGTTCAGCTATGCCCTGCCCACAGAGGTGAGGCCTATAGAGGTAGTAGGCCTTGCTGAGCTGCAGTGGGCTCCACCCACTTTGTGCTTCCTTGCCACTTTGTTTACCTACTTAAGCCTCAGCAATGGTGGATGCACCTCCCCCCGCCCGGCTGCAGCCTTGCAGGTGGATCTCAGACTTCTGCGCTAGCCGTGAGCAAGGTTCTGTGGGCGTGTAACCCGCCGACCCAGGTATGGGGGAGAATCTCCTGGTCTGCCAGTTGCTAACACCATAGGAAAAGTGCAGTATTTGGGCAGCAGTGTCCTGTTTTTCCAGATACAGTCTGTCAGGGCTTCCCTTGGGTAGGAAAGGGAAATCCCCAAACCCCTTGTGCTTCCCGGCTGAGGTGCCTCGCCCTGCTTCAGCTTGCCTTCTATGGGCTGCACCCACTTTCCAGCCAGTCCCAATGAAATGAACCAGGTATCTCAGTTGGAAATACAGAAATCAGCCGTCTTCTGCATTGATCACACTGGGAGCTGCAGACCGGAGCTGTTCCTATTCGACCATCTTGGAACGACTTGGTAATAAATTTTTAATACCAATTTCTAGCAACAATTTATTCATTGCTGCTATATAGATAAGTGACTCACTTGTATATTATCTTTGTATCCTGAAACTTTGATAGAATTGCTTAGTAGTTCCGGTTGTTGTTGTTGTTATTGTTTTTGATTAATACTTTCAAATCTTCTACGTAGGTAATTATGTGAACAAAGACAGTTTTATTTCTTCCTTCCCAATTTGTATACGTTTGATTTTATTTTCTTGTCTTATTGCATTAGCTAGGTTTTGTAGTAAAATGTTGAAAAGTAGTGGTGACAGGATACCCTTGCCTTGTTCTTAATCCCAGTTGAAAAGCTTTGCATTTTCACACCTAAGTATAAATGTTAACTATATGTTCTTTGCAGATTTTTTTATCAAGTTAAGAAAGTTTTCCTTTATTTATTGTTTAATATACTAGTAAAATTTTTGCTTCTTGTCCTCTGACCTTACGATGCTCTACTGGTCTAGAGGTTTTTGTTTCAAAGGGAGGATTGCTGCTATCAGGAAACAAAGCAATGATCCCACCAAACTGGGGGTTAGGTCTTTCACAGAGCCTCTTTGGGCTCCTTGTGCATCTGAATCATCAAAGGAGGGAGTTACTTTGCTGTCAGGAAAGATTACTTCTGATTAACAAGGGAAAATTAGCCTGCCATGACACAGGGGGTATAAGGAAGAATATGTCTCCCTCAGGGAAGGTCCCAGTGACAAAAGTTTCCATGGAAAAAACTACAACATCTCAATTCACACACAATTTCCAATGGCTTGGTCACTTTGGAAATGAAGATTTGGGTCACTGAATGAGGCAAAAACAAAATAAAACAAAACAAAAAACATGACCAGGTGAGGTGCTTGTTTGGAGTAAAGAGAATATGGAATGGGTAGTAGAAAGAGAGAATTATACAAACAAGCTCACCACTATGTTATCAGTTGCAGAGACAAGAGTTGTAATTGTTGAGTATTTCTTTCTTTTTTTAAAGATAAATAGGTTTGTGCATCAAATCTTTGCTTTCTACCCTCTCTTATCCCCTCATTATCTAACATAAGATGTATTGAATAATGGTTAACTTTAAATCACAGTATTTAAGATTTGAAGAAGAGTGAACTTCATCTAAGGACTGTGTCACCTCTTCTGGGAAAAGGACTACTGTGTTTTCAGTTGCAGGCACAATTGCTGTATCATGTTGCATGGAAGTATGACTTCATTGTTGTCTTTATTTAGAAATTAAGTATGATTTGGGGGATAGGTATGGACACCACGTTGACCAAGGTAAACTGCAATGGTTAATTAATATGTTAAATTTGCTAGGTTATGGTACACAATCATTTGATCATTTGCTATTAGGTTGGTTCAAAAGTAAGTACAGTTTTTGACATTACTTTCAAAAGCAAAAACTGTAGTGACTTTTGTACCAACTTAATACTTGAAGTGTTGCTGTGGAGGCATTTTGTAGATGTTTTAACAACTACAATCAGCTAATTTTAAGTAATAGACATTATTCTCAATGGTGGGCCTCATCCAATAAGTTGAAGGGCTTTAAGTGCAATACCGAAGTGTTTCTAAGAAGAAAAATATCTGTCTAAACACTGCAGCATCATTTGAAAGTTTTCAGTTTCTTGGCCTGCTCTACAAATTTTGGACTGGCCAACCCTTATAATAATCACACAAACCAATTCCAATTTCTTTAAGTACACCTCTGTATATACTCACGCTCACACTCATGGACATGCACATGCACACTCGTGTGCAAGCACACAGACACACACATATGGTGTATTAATGTATGGAAATATGTTTGATTTTTGTGTGTTGATCTTGCATCATGTGACCAAATAAACTCACTCATTAGTTTTAGTATTTGAGTTTTTGTTTTTTTGGGTTTTTTGGAGAGGAGACTTGTATTGAATTTCTATACAGACAATCATGACATTTGCAAATGAAGCATAATTTTATTTCTTTTGCTTCAATTAGTATGACTTTAATTCCCTTTTGTTTGCTTTATTGAACTTGTTAGAACATGCAGATCATGTTGAATAAGAGTAAAAAGAACAGACATCCTTGCCTTGTTCATGATCTTAGGGGGAAAGAATTTAGTCTATAACCAAGAGTGTTCATTGCTGGCTTTTTGTAGATTTTCTTTATCAAATTGAAGACTTTCACCATCAACTCCTACTTTTCTTGGAGTTTTTTTTTTTTAATATGAGTGGGTGTTGGATTTTTTTGTTGGCAGGGGGACGCGGTTTCACTCTGTCTCTCAGGCTGCAGTGCAGTGCCCTGCACTGCAGACTCCGCCTCCCGGGTTCAAACAATTCTCCTGCCTCAGCCTCCCAAGTAGGCTGGCTTACAGGCGCCCACCACCACACCTGGCTAATTTTTGTATTTTTAATAGATATGAGGTTTCACCATGTTGGCCAGGCTGGTCTCAAACTCCTGACCTCAGGTGATCTGCCCACCTCAGCCTCCCAAATTGCTGGTGTTACGTGCCTGAGTCATCGTGCCTGGCTGGTGTTGGATTTTTTAATGTTTTCCTCTGTTACTTAGCATAATCAGAATTTGCTTTTTTGACTTTTTGATATGGTGAATTGCACTGTTTGATATTCAAATATTCAACCAGGCCTGAAACCCTGAAATAAGTTTCAACTGGTCATAGTGTATAATTATTTTGTACATTTTTGGATTTTGTTTGCTAATATTTTTTGAGTATTTAGCATCTACATTTGTGAGAGCTCTTTGCCTGTGGTTTTTTCATGGTGGGGAGCAGGAAGCTGCCTTAACACACTTTTGTAGTTCAGTAATACTAGTCCTATAAAATGAGTTGGGCAATATTTCCTCATCTTCTGTTTTCTGGAAGAGATTATTAAAAATTTGTAATAATTCTTTAAAAATATTTGGTAGAATTATTAAAACCATCAGACTTCTGTGTCCAGAGATTTATATTTTAATAGAATTTTAATTATGAATTTAAGGTCTTTGATGGTTATGAGTCTATTCGGATCATCTTGAGTTTCAGTAGTGTGTGGTTTTTGAGGAATTGATCCATTTATCCTAAGTTGTCTAGTTTATGAGTGCAAAGTATTTCTGAAGTATTCCCTTGTTATCTTGTCCTTGGCTGTAGAATCTCTAGTGATATCTTCTATTTTATTTCTGACAGTGGCAATTTTTGTCCTTTGTTCTTTTACATTTGTTAGTGTTATTGGAGATTTACTAATTTTATTGATTTATTTTAAAGAATAAGCTTTTCATATCATTTGATTTTTCTGCATTTTTAAACAATTTTGCATTTTATTAATTTTTGTTATTTTATTAACTGCTTCCTTTGGCTTGTTTTGTGTTTATTTTGCTTTTCTTTTTGTAGTTCCTTGTGATTAGAAATTAAATTATTCATTTAATCCCTTTCTATGCTTTTATGCCTTCCACATATTTTGCTATGCTTTTCCTTTTCTTTCAAATTCAATTTTGTTTTATTCATTTATATATATATTTAAGTTATACCATTTGATGTTTTGATATGCATATACATAGTTAAATGATTATTATATTCAAGCCAATTAACATATCCATCATCTTATGAAGTCATCTTTTAAAATGTGTGAGATCCCCTAAAATCTCCATTAGCCAATTTTCTGTGTATAATACAATATTATTAACTATAGTCTTCATGCTGTAGATTAGTTCTCTAGACTTATCCTGCATAGCTGCACAATTGTACCTTTTAACCTTCATCTCTCCATTTCTGCCCTAACTCCTGCCTCTGTTAACTACCATTCTACCATGTATCTATGTACTATACTTCTTTATATATGCCACACATGTATTCGCCCATTTTTGAATTGCTATAAAGAAATACCTGAGACTGGGTAATTTGTAAGGAAAAGAGGTGTAATTGTCTCATGGTTCTGCAGTCCATACAGGAAACATGGCAGCATCTGCTTCTGGGGAGGCCTCAGGGAGCTTTTACTTATGGTGGAAGGCAAAGCAGGAACAGGCATCTTACATGGCAGGAGCAGGAGCAAGAGAGGGAGGAGAGTGTGCCACATATTGTTAAACAACCGGATCTTGGAAGAACTCAGTCACTATCATGTGGACAGTACCAAGGAGGAAATCCACTTCCGTGATCCAATTACTTCCCACTGGGCCCCACCTCCAACACTGGGAATTACAATTCAACATGAGATGTGGGTGGAGACACAGATACAAACCATATCAACATATAAGAGAGGTCAGGCAGGGTGTTTCTTTTTCGATCTGGCTTATTTCACTTAACATAATATTCTCCAGGTTCATCCATGTTGCTACAAATGGCAGATTATTTTTAAGGCTGAATAACCCATTGCACATAATTTCTTTGTCCAACCATTCATTGATGGATGCTTAGGTTTTTTTCATATCTTGCCTATTGTGAATAATGCTGCAATGAACATGAGTGTGCAGCTGCTCTCTACAAGATGCTCATTTCATTTCCTTTGAGTGTATACCCAGCAGAGAGATTTCTTGGTCATATGGCAGTTCTATTTTCAATTTTCTTAGGAAACGCTACGCTGTTTTTTCATTATGGCTGCAATAATTTACATTCCTATCAACAGTGTTTTCTTTTCTTCACATCCTTACCAACTTACCAACGCTTGCTGTTTCTTGTCTTTCTAATAATAGCCATCCTATTGGGTAGGTGATATTGTAATTTTGAGTTGCATTACTCTGATCATTAGTGATGGTGAACACCTTTTCATATACTTATTGGTCATTTTTATATCTTCTTTAGAGTTGTCTATTCAGGTTCTTTGCCCATATTTTAACTGGATTATTCATTTTTTGCTATTGAATTCTGTGAGTTCCTTATATATTTCTAATATTAACTCCTTTTTTGATAAATGGTTTGCAAATATTTTCTCGCAATCTATATGCTGCCCTTTCATTTTATTAATTATCTACTTCCTGTTTGTGGAAACTTTTTACTTTGATGTAGACCTACTTTTTTACCTTTTCTTTTGTTTCCTGTGCTTTGTTATCCTATCCAAAATCTCACTGTGTAGACCAACATCAAGAAGCTTTCCCAGCCGGGCCTGTTGGCTTAAGCTTGTAATCCCAGCATTTTGGGAGGTCAAAGTGGGAGGATTACTTGAGCCAAGGATTTTGAGACTAGCCTGGGCAATGTAGTTACACGTGGTCTCTAAAAATTTTTTTAAAAATTAGCTGGGCATGGCAGCACACATCTGTAGTCCCAGCTACTTGGGAGGCTACTTAGGAGGACTGCAAACCAAGAGGTCAAGGCTGCAGTGAGCTGTGATCATGCCACTGCACTGCAACCTGAGTGACAGAGTGAGACACTGTTTAAAAATTAAATAAATGAATAAAAATAAAATAATTTTTAAAAAGAGGCTCTCCCCGTTTATTTTCCTCTAGGAGATTTTGGTTTCAAGTCTTACATGTAAATCTTTAATGCATTTTGAGTTGAATTTTGTGTATGGTGTAAGGTAATGATCCAGTCTTACACTTTTGCATGTGGTTAGACAGTTTTCCCAGCATCATTTATTGAAGAAGACTATTCTTTCTCTTTTGTATGTTTTTGGTACCGTTTTCAAAAATTAGTTGACCATATATGCTTGGTTTTATTTCTGGGGCTCTCTATTTTGTTCCACTCGTTTATCTGTCTGTTTTATGTCGGTACTATGCTGTTTTGATTACTGTAACTTTATGATGTAATTTGAAATGAGACAGAGTGATGCGTTCAACTTTGTTTTTCTTTTACAAGATTGCTTTGGCTACTTGGGGTCTTTTGTGGTTCCATATGGATTTTAGTATTGTTTTTTCAATTTCTCAAAATTGCCATTGCAATTTTGATAGAGAATATATTGAATCTGCATATTGCTTTGGGTAGTGTGGAAATTTTCACAATATTAATTTCCTGTTCAGTTTTGTCTTTTAAAAAAATCTCCTTTGAGATGCATGGACTGCATTTAAAAATGTGTGTGTTTTTTAAGTTTCCACATTTTTATAGATTTTCTTGTTGTCTTTCTGTTACTGATTTCTAGCTTGATTCTATTAGGCCCAGAAAACACAACTTGCAAGATTTAAAGTCTTTTAAATTTGTTGAGGCTCTTTTATGGCCCTGGCTATGGTCTATTTTTATAAATCTTCCGTGGACTCTTTAAAAAATGTGTTCTGATGTTTTTGGTTGATGAGTTCTATATATGTCAATTAGATTCTGTTGTGTGGTTCAGATCTATATTCTTGCTAATATTTTTTCTAAAAGTTCTGTTAGTTGCTGAATAAGCAGTGTTGAATTTTCCAACTGTAATTATGTATATTTTCCTTATAGTATTAATAGTTTCTACTGCATGTATTTTGAGGCTCTTTTATTTGGTGCCCACACTTTAGGATTGTTATGTTTTCTTGGTGAGTTGAGTCGTTTATTATGTAACATATCTCTGTCTTTAATAATTTTCTTTGCTCTGGAGGCTACTTTATCCAATATTGATATGTTTTCCTTGCCTTTTTTAAATTAATATTTGCATGTATGTCTTTTTCCATCCTTCTACATTCAGCCTACTTAATGTCTGAATCTGAAGTGACTTTCTTGTAAGCAGCATATGGTTAATGGTGTATTCCATTGGTCCCCAACCTTTTTGGCACCAGAGACTGGTTTTGTGGTTTAATGGAAGACAATTCTTCCACGGACCAGGGGGTGATGGTTTTAGGATGAAATTGTTCAACCTCAGATCATCAGGCATTAGTTAGATTCTCATATGGAATGTGTAACCTAAATCCCTTGATTGCACAGTTTACAATAGTGTTCAAGCGCCTATGAGAATTTAATGCCACTGCTATTCTGACAGGAGGTGGATGGAGCTCAGGTGGTCATGCTCTCTCTCCCACTGCTCACCTCCTGCTGTGCGGGCTAGTTTCTTGTACAGGTCCACAGCCCCGTGGGCTGGGAACCCCTGATGTGTTCTGCTTATCAACTCTGCCAATCTCTATTTTGATTGGTACATTTAGCATATTTACATTTAAGGTAATTATTGATATGTTACAGCTTAAATCTGTCATTTCATTACTTCTATTGTGTTTGTTTTCTCTGGGTCTTGTTCAGCTTAACTTTCTGTAGGTTTCTTACATTTTTACAGTATTCTTTTGTGATTTACTTACAGTGTGTTTGAGTATATTTCTTTGCATAGTTTCCATAGTGGTTGCTGTGAGCATAGTCTTCTGGCATCAACACCTTGCCACTCTGAATAAAGTGTGAAAATATCACCTTCACTTAGGGCTTTTACCCTCATCAACTTTTAAATATCATTGTCTTGGATATCAGATGATATTTTCTTTCAATATCAAATATAATTTATAAAACTCATGAGGAAAAGAATTGCCTATTGAATGTACTCATAATTCTGTTCTGTCTGTTGTTTTTTCTTATTTCCTGATATTCCAAGATCCTTTCCTTTATATTAGGTTCTTTTCATTTGAATAATTTTCTTAAGACAGTTTTTAATGGTAAGTCTGTTAGTGACAAATTCATTCTGTTTGTATCTTTGGGGAAAGTTTTTTTTTTCTCTGTTATTAATAAAGAATAGTTTCAGCAGCTATAGAATTTATAGTTGACAGTTATTTTCTTTTGGCACTCGAAAAAACAATCCACTTCCTTTTGGCCCCTATGGTTGAGAAACTCACTGTGATTTGAATGTGTGTTCCTCTATGTTAATGTGCTGCTTGTCTCTTGGATATTCTTTTTTTTTTTTTTTCTCTTTGCTTTATTTCTCAAAAGTTCAATTACGGTGTGTCTTGGCATGGATTATATCAGTTTATCTTGATTTGTATTTATTCAACCTTTTGAACTTACAGGTTTTTGTCTTATACTAAATTTGGTGATTTTTCTTCCATTATTTCTTTAAATACTCTCAGTGTGACCCACTCTCTTTCTTCTATCCTGATAATATGAATGTTAAATCTTGTGTTATTATGCTACAAGACCCCAGGCTTTGTCCATTTTTTTTCTGCCTATTTTCCCCTTGATATCCAGTTGGGGTGAATCCCATTGCTTTATTCTTAAATTAATTGATTTATCCTCTGTCATCCTCAGTCTATTATTGAGTCCACCCAATAAGTTTTATTTCTATTTTGTATTTTTCAGTTCTAAAATTTCCATTTGTTTCTTCATTTTAAAATCATTTCTATTTATTTGTTGAGTTTTATACTTTTTCATTTGTTTAAAGATAATTTGTTATTAATGAAATATTTTTATTATGGATTCTTTAAAATCTTTTTTCAGTAATTTCAGTATCTGAATTTTCTTGGTATTCATATCAGTTGATTTTCTCATTTAAGTTATAATTTTCTCAGTTCTTGGTATAATAGGTGATTTTTTAATTTTTCTTGGACATTTTGTGTATTATGTTAGATTCTGGATCTGATGTGTGTGTGTGTGTGTGTGTGTGTGTGTGTGTGTGTGTGTGTGTGTATACCCCCACAAAGGCATTTGCCTGTTTATGAGTATTGGCCCACTTTCATGGGCTACGATTCCAGTGGTAGTTTTATTTTCAGAACCTTTATGTTGTTATTTTGGTATGCTTGGTTAATCTGGTGCCACTAGGGGTCCTAGCAGTCCCTCTTGGCACTGCCTGAATGATCAGAATTTCCCCAGACCAGGTAGCAGGATGTCTCTCCATGAAGGAACAGGACAGGCATGGCAGGATACTCCTACTTTTTCACTTATCTCCTACTATTCTGGTGTCTCTGGGAAGTGGAAGAGAGTCCCTAACTCATTGGGACAGAGTGGCTTTCCAATCCAGGCCACCTGCTTCTCTGATTCTTTTCTATTGACTGGAGCCCTTTTCACTCCAGTATCTCTTAGTAAAAGGGGACTCTCAGGCCAGGCAAGAGGAGAGAGGGCCTCCACTGGTAGCTTCTGGAAGAGCTCACAAATGATTCCTCACCAGTGGTGTTGTAGATCATCTCACTTGATATTATCAGAAGAATGTTTGATCTAGGGGAGGAATGCACTGTCTTTTGTTGCTAAGATGAGGATCAGGACAAGCTGGGACTGGGTGGCCTTCCTCTGTTGAGTAAGAGACATGCAAGATGCCCTACCACTGTACTGTTCTGTTGGTCCTGGGGTTCCAAACAATATCACACTTTTCTTCTTTTAGTTCTCCTTTGGTTGTCTCTTGAGCCATTTTCAGGGTTCATAGATGTGCTTAGCAGAAAAGGGAAAGAAAAACAGGTCCATGCCATCTTGTCCCCACTGGAAGCACCTGGATATCATTTTTAATAGACTGATGCAAAGAGGAAACTCCTTAGTGTGAGTAAATAAATGTAAAGAAGTTTATAACTTAAAGTGTTTCTATCCTATAAAATAAAATGTAATGTTTTGTGTATGTTAGGATACTCTTTCTAAAATACATTTATTACCACTTTCTACTTATTGAAAGCTTTATGGGGTTTAAAAATGGCTTTTATGTCAAGATTTCCCAACATGATGATGATGTAGGCTTAAGCAGTTAGATCTCCTCCTCGGGATCTGTTTTGCTACTTAGCACAGGAAATGCTGCTACCCTCATGCCAGTATAGGAATTTTAAGCGCCTCAGTGATACGAAACAGGAATGAAATTTAAATAAGGGAATAATGGGATGACCTTTGGTCAAGAATTGCAAATCTATTACAATAGTCAAGAAGGACAACGAAGATACACAAATATCCCTAATTGGAGGGTGAAATCAAGTCAAAGGAGAAGCTGATAGAACAGAGAAATGTGGGAGGGAGATGTGGATACAGAGTCCCTGGCAACAAGGCTTTACGTCAGAGCATTAAAGCCCAGGTCTTTATGAAACAGGTTTTACCAGAGAAAGAAGTGAAAAATATCTTCACAACAGCCAGAAAAGTTGGGGCTGTGATGGCTCCAGTAAATACGCCCAAATATTGAATGAGCTAACACGGGAAAAAATAAAAGTCTCTGGCATTATCTAAAATCAGCTTAAGTCAAAAGAAAGGTTCTCCCCTGAAGAATCAGAAAATTCTCTTATCTAAAATTGTTTCTCTGTAAGAATGAAGAAAGCAATTAAGCTATTTCTGATTGGCATACACATACATACAACAAAGCAAATATAAAACTAGATTATATAGTCGTGATGAAATAATATTCTGATATTTTAAAATTAAGGTTACAAATATAATTGCCAAATAAAATTATGTACTGAAGAAAATCAAGTAATAACTGCAGACTCTGGATTCTGAAGGCCAAAGATGCATGTGCTGGCCCAAAACTCACATGCTGAGTGACATGGCAGGAAAAACGACAAGGAAGGAAGAGGGAGAAGATAGAGAAAGAAAGAGAGGAAGGGCGAGTGTGGTGGAGTCATGAAACACACCTAAAAGGATTCAGAGAAATTTGGTTTGGTTTTGTTGAAATATTTTATTTTCTTTCCTTTTCATCTTTTTATAAAATTATCCTAACAGTTTAGTCAACTAGGGCAATTGAGTGTGCAAGAGCAAGAAGAAGACTTGCTTTGCCAGTGGAAGGGCCAGGTTAAGTAATAAAAGAGGGAGATCCAGTGGAAGTACTGAGGAAAAGGAGGATACCCAATGAAATCATAAGGAGAATGATTTTGTGTTCTTTAGGATCCAACCAGGAACAAAAACCACCTTAAGTATTTACAACAGAGGCAGTTTTCTGCAGGGTTTTGGTTATACTGATGACAGAAAAGTGAAAGCAGTCAAATCAACAGTGAAGCCACACACAGACTAGCGATGTCAGGAAACATTCCACTCCCAGACAGAGGGACAAGGGGAGAATGAGATTTACCAGAAGCTCAGATGTCACATAGCAGGAGTGTAAACCTTTGCAGGCCTTTCTTGTAGGAGCAGTAGGTAGGAGAAGAGACAGCCACTGACAAGAAAACTACCAGAATCTTCGGCCTTCCAATCTCTTACCAGAGCCACTCATAGGTGGACTCTGGCTGGAATGCAGCTGACACAGTGAGATAAGAATCAGTCTCCCTGCAGCACAAAGCAGGGGAAGAGCAAGAGATTCTCAGGGCAAATAATTTTGTGACATAATGATGCTGGAGAGGTATTTGAGGAAAGAAATAGAGGAAGCACAAATTGGACAGCAAAAGAAGTGATAGAAATCAGAGGCTAAGAATGAACAGTGACTGAGGAGAGTAAAGTAGGAAGCTAGAGATGACGAAGGTGAAGATGGCAATTGGAAGCAGAAGCATCAGGAGAAACAGTAAAGCATACAAATATGTAGGAATGCAAATCAGTATGCTTCCTTACTTTTCCCATCTATGTTTTGCATCTGAAGTGTGCAAGCAGATAAACTGCATAGCATCTCAGGGCAATGAAGGACAACACAGGCTTAGCATCTACTAAATGATGGAAGGATTTCAACAGTGCTAATGATGATGCTGTTAGGAATTTGACAGTATTTGTCCAGACTGCATAGGGAGGTAGATGATTGCAAAAGATGAAAGCAAAGAAAGAATTGAGTTACTGTGTGTATCACATCAAATGTAATTTTGAGTGCAGTTCATCGTAGTAGTTCAGATAAGACCCAAATTGCTACGGATCCAGGTGGATATAGATGGCAAGAGTTATAGGGAACAAATGCCCATCACTTCTTCCAAAAATTAGAAGTGCGTGAAAGGAGAAAATAAGTGAGTAGTTATGAATAGTTATTTTTTTAGAATAGTAAAATTGTGCATATGTTCAGAAAATTGAAAGGAATTACAAATTTCCAATGACAAGTAATTAAGGGAACCACACATATTTTTACTTAAGAAGAGGTTCTAGTCATCTGTTTACATAGTCTTAACTTTAATTCAGCTGATTTTATATGTTAACATTGATGGCTGATAAAGAGATCAAAGTATTTATTTTATAAGTTGTCATGGAAATTTTACATGTACAGCATTGGCAAATGTATCTCCAAACACCCCAACAAAATCATCATACTAATCCCTGGGAATATTTCCAAGCACAGTCTTACGATAACAATTTTAAAAACTAGAAAAAGTGATTCTGTAGTCACAATGAGGGCAAGTGTTGACAAAGAGGACTTAGCAAGTGATATACAGGTGGCTTTAATATAGGCAACCATGTGCTTGCCTCTGGGAAGTATTCTAAAGGACAGGTCCTGAAGAAACACGTAGCATCAGCAGTGGACTGGGTGAATAATCAAGTAAGCTCTGTGACTCTATACCACTCACAATTTAGAGCAGCTAAAGGGAGAAAACTCCAACAAGAAAACCACTGTAATAATTGAGCCATAATTATTAGCATTTTAGAGAGAACATTAAAATTAAGCTCAATGTACCGTGTCTGTCCTTTTAAAAAATGGGACAAAGGAGTCTGGGTAAAAAGTCATCCAAAGTATAACAAAAATGAAGTAATGTTGGAAATCTGTGGCTATAGTGAGATGTAGTTAGGAGATTTCACTTTGACATTTCAGTATTTATTGATGTTATTTCAATAGATATTGGAGTACAAGTGACTTTTGGTTACATGAATGAATCTCTGAAATTGTGAACTGTGCTGAAATTAACATGTGTGCATGAATCTTTTTCATGTAATGACTTATTTCCATTGGGTAGATAGATACCCAGTAGTGGGATTGCTTTATCAAATGGTAGATCTACTTTTAGTCCCTTAAGGAATCTAAATACTGTTTTCAGTAGAGATTATGCTAATTTACATTTCCACCAGCAGCATATAAGCATTCCTCTTTCACCACATCGAGGCCAACATCTGTTGTTTTTGACTTTTTAAAATAATGGCCATTTTTGCAGGAGTAAGATGTTATCTCATTGTGTTTTAAATTTGCATTTCACTGTTGATTATTGATGTTGAGCATTTTTTATGTTTGTTGGCCATTTGTGTATCTTCTTCTGAGAAAAGTATATTCATATCATTTGCCCAATTTTTGATGAGATTATTTGTTTTTTCTTGCTGATATGTTTGAGATCCTTGTAGATTCCAGATACTAGTCCTTTATTGAATTCACAGTTTGCAAATATTTTCTCCCATTCTGTGGGTTGTCTGTCCACTCTTGAAGATTATTTCTTTTGCATGCAGAAGCTTTTTAGTTTAATCAGGTCTTGAATATTTATTTTTGTTTTTGCTGCATTAGATTTTGGGGTTTTAGTCATATTTTTTTTTTGCCTAGGCCATCATCTAAAAGAATTTTTCAAAGGTTATTTTCTAGAATTGTTATGGTTTCAAGTCTTAGATTTAACTCTGATCCATCTTGAGTTTATTTTTCTGTAGGGTGAGAGATCGGGATCCAGTTGCGTTCTTCTGCATGTTGGCTAGCCAGCATTCCCAGTAACATTTATTAAATAGAGTGTCCTTTCCCCAATTTATGTTTTGTATCCTATGCTAAAGATCAGTTGGCTGTAAGTATTTGGATTTATTTCTTGGTTTGCTATGCTATTCCATTGGTCTATGTGCCTACTTTTATGCTGGTACCATGCTGTTTGGGTAACTATAGCCTTGTAGCGTAACTTGAAGTCTGGTAATGTGATGCCTCTAGATTTGTTCTTTTTACTTGGAATTGCTTTGGCTCTTGGGCTGTTTTTCAGTTGCATATGAATTTTAGGATTTTTTTTTCTAATTCTGTGAAAAATGATGCTGATATTTTTATGGGAATTGCATTGAATCTGTAGATTGCTTTGGGCAGTATGGTCATTTTCACAGTATTGATTCTTCTAACCCATGAGCATGGGATATGTTTTCATTTGTTTGTGTCATCTGTGATTTCTTTCAGCAGTGTTTTGTAGTTCTCCTTGTAAAGGTCTTTCACCTCCTTGGTTAAGTTAATTCCTAGGTATTTTATTTTTTTGCAGCTGTTGTAAAAGGGATTGAGTTCTTGATTTGGTTCTCACCTTAGTCGTTGTTGGTGTATATCAGTGCTACTGATTTGTGTACATGGATTTTGTAACCTGAGATATTATCCAATGTGTTTATCAAATCTAGGAGGCTTTTTGAGCAACCTTTAGGGTTTTCTAGGTATATAATCATATCATCAGTGAATAGTGATAGTCTGACTACCTTTTCTCCACTGTAAATGTCCTTTATTTCTTTCTCTTGCCTGATAGCTCTGGCTAGGATGTCAGATACTATGTTGAATAGAAGTGGTGAACTTGGGTATCCTTGTCTTGTCCAGTTTTCAGGGGCATTGCTTTCCACTTTTCTCTATTCAGTATGATGTTTGCTGTGAGTCTGTTATATAGGGCTTTTATTAATTAATTCAAGGTAAGTCCCTTCTATGCTTAGTTTGCTGAGGGCTTTTTATCACAAAGAGATGCTGTATTTTATCAAATGCTTTTCTGCACCTATTGAGATGATCATATGGTTTGTTTTCAATTTTGCTTTTGTGATATATCACATTTATTGACTTGCATATGTTAAACCATCCCTGCATCTCTGGGATCAAACCCACTTGATCATGGTGTATTATCTTTTTGATGTGCTGTTGGATTTCATTAGCTGGTATTTTATTGAGGTTTCTTTTTTTGTTTGTTTGTTTGTTTTAATCTATGTTCATCAGGGATATTGGTCTGTGGTTTTCTTTTTTTGTTGTTATGTTAATTCATGGTTTTAGTATCAGGGTGAAATTAGCTTACAAGGATGATTTAGAAAGGATTCCCTCTTAATCTTTTGGAATAGTTTCAGTAGAATTGGTACCAATTGGACATCTGGTAGAATTGAGCTCCGAATCCATCTGGTCTTGGGGTTTTTTGGTGGTGGCGGTAGGTTTTTTTTTTTTTTTTTTTTCTGATTCAATCTTTATGTTTATTGATCCATTGAGAGTTTCTCTTTTTCCTGATTTAATCTGGGAGGATTATATGTTTCCAGGAATTTCCTACATTTCCTACAGTTTTTCTAGTTTGTGTGCATAGAGGTGTTCATAGTAGTAATAAATGATCGTATTTCCGTGGTGTTAGTTGTAACGTCTCCAGTTTCATTTCTAAGTGCACTTATTTGAATCTTCTCTCTTCTTGGTTAACCAAGCTAATGGTCTGTCAATTTTGTTTATCTTTTCAAAGAACCACCTTTTTGTTTCAGTGATCTTTTTATTGTGTTTTTTGTTTCAGTTTCATTTAGGTCTGCTCTGATATTTGTTACTGTTTTTTTTCTTCTACTAGCTTTGAGTTCAGATTGCTTTGTTTCTCTGCTTCCTTGAGGTGTGACATTATGTTGTCGATTCATAATCTTTAAGGCTTTATGATATAGGCATTTAGCACTATAAACTTTCCTCTTAACACTGCTTTTGCTGTATGCCAGAGATTTTGATAACTTGTGTCACTATTATCATTCATTTTGAATTTTTTTTTAATTTCCATCTTGATTTCATTGTTAACCCAAAAATCATTCAGGAGCAGATTGTTTAATTTCCATGTATTTGTATAGTTTTAGGGGTTCCTTTTGGGTCGATAACTAGTTTTATTCCAGTGTGGTCTGAGAAGATAACGTGGTATGATTTCAATTTTCTTAAGTTTATTGAGACTTGTTTTGTGGCCTGTCATATGTTCTATCATGGAGAATGTTACATGTGGTGATGAGAAGAATGTATATTATGGAGGTCTTGGGTACAAGGTTCTGTAAATATCTGTTAGGTCACTTTGTTCCTGAGTGTAGTTTAAGCCCATTGTCTTTTTGTTGACTTTCTGTCTCAATAATCTGTCTAGTGCAGTCACTGGAGTATTGAACTATTATTATGTTCCTGTCTATCTCATTACTTAGGTCTAGTCGTAATTGGTTTATGAATCTGGGACCTCCAGATTTAGGTGCATATATGTTTAGGATTATATCTTTTTGGTGGACTGATCCTTTTATCATTATATAATGACAGTTGCCTTTTTTTTTTTTTACCGTTGTTACTTTAAAGTCTGCTTTGTCTGATATAAGAATAACTACTCTTGCTTGTTTTTGGTGTTGATTTGTTTTTGTTTTTTCAGTTTGTCTTGTTTTTGGTTTCCAGTTACATAGAATGCCTTTTTCTACCCCTTTATCTTGAGTTTATAGGAATCCTTACATGTTAGGTAAGTCTCTTGAAGACAACAGATATTTGGTTTGTGATTCTTTATCCATTCTGTTAGTCTGTATCTTTTAAGTGTGGCATTTAGGCCATTTACATTTAATGTTAATACTGAGGTGTGAGGTACTGTTGTATTCATCATGTCAATTGTTTTCCAGATACTTTTTTAGTTACTGTTATTGTGTTATTGTTTTATAGGCTCTGTGAGTTCTGTGCATTCAAGAGGTTCTATTTTTGTGTATATTGAGCTTTTGTTTCAAGATTTATAACTTATTTTAGCATTTTTTTTATCGGGCTGCTCTGATAACAACAAATTCCCTCAGTAGTTGTTTGTTTGAAAATGACCTATTTGTCCTTCATTTATGAAACTTGGCTTTGCCTGATACAACACTCTTGGTTTACAGTTATTTTGTTTCAACAGGACAAAGATAGAACCCCAGTCCCTTCTGGCTTATAAGATTTCTGTTGTAAATCTGCTGTTAGTCTGGTAGATTTTTCTTTATAGGTTACCTCATGTGTTTTTCTCACTTTTTTTTTAGAACTCTTTGTTTCATGTTGACTTTATATAGCCTGATGACTGTATGTCTTGATGATGACCTTTTTGCAATGTATCTCCCAGGTGTTCTTTAAGCTTCTTGTATTTTAATATCTAAATCTCTAGCAAGGCCAGGGAGTCTTCCTCAATTATTCCCTGAAAAAAGATTTCCAAACTTTTTGCTTTCTCTTTTCCCTCAGGAATACCAATTATTCTTAGGTTTTGCCATTTTACATAATCTCATAATTCTTAGAGATGTCCTTCATTTCTCTTGATTCTTTTTTCTTTATTTTTGTCTTATTAGATGAATTCGGAAATATTTTTGTCTTATTAGGTGAATTTGAAAACTTGTCTTAGAGTTCTGAAATTCTTTCTTCTACTTTCCTTTGCATTGTGTAATTTACTAAGTGTGTATTTCATTTCCAGAAGTTCTGATTTTTTTAAGATATCTATCTTTCTAGAAAATTTGTTATTCATATTCTGAATTTTTTTTAATTTCTTTCTGTTGGTTTTTACCTTTCTCTGGTATTTCCTTGAGTAGCTTAATAATCAACCTTTTGAAATTTTTATCTGGTATTTCAAAGATTTCATATTGGTTTGCTTTATTTGCTGGAGGGCTAGTGTGATCTTTTGGGGGTATTATAGAATTCTGTTTTGTCCTATTATCAGAATTATTTTTCTGGTTTCTTCTCATTTGGGTAGACTATTTCTTCACATTATTCTTGAATTTACTTTTGACTTCTTTTATTTTTTTCCTTTTTATGGATGTGACTTTAACATTTATAGTTTATTGAAACCTAACTTAGGTACTGGTGCTTTCTAGGGTGAAGACTCAGTATGGATTCCTTGGTTATAGGTCTTTGTATGATGGCCTTCTCGGGTGCTGATTATAGTAGCAATGTGCTCACTGTGTGAGCAAGTTCACTGTTTCCTGTAGGAAATGCCTCTCAAAGCTTATTTCATTCCCCCATGATGTTTACTTTTTTATTTATTAATTTTTCCCCAGGATTTTATTTACTGGGTTGAATAGTTCAGGCTTCAGCCCAATAAGGGATGTGTCTACAGGTAGAAACCAGATGTTGTTAAAGCAGGTGGGTAAATGCAGTATCCAATGTCTGGGCAGAGGACGGAGGTGGCTGGGAGAGCTCTCAGTGAAACACACTGAGGTCTTATCAGTGGGAAGGACCAGATTTACCTCAGCTTCTCTGCCAGGACAGCAGGAAGTCTTTCCCTCACCAAGACACACTCCTGACCTGGTGTTCCAGCTATTCAGATCAGACAGGTACCTTTTTTACATCTGTGGGAATGTTGGTGTTTCAACTAGAAAGAAACTGTGGTTCTACCTCTCATGTAAACCTGCACTTGGAGGCATTTCTCCTGTGGGGATGCATCCCCCCTGAGGTGTCGCAGAACATCTGTCTCTAGGTGCACCCACACTGAGCTCCTATGGGAAAACCCCAACTGTGTCTGCAGTGGTGGACAAATGGGAAACTTGTCCCATTCTCTAAGACATTTCATGAGTAACAGAGCTTCCCGAGCATTGTGGTAGAACTGAAGACTTTCTCAGCTGAGCCTAGCACTGCAACTGTGGCTCCACTGGAAGAAACTTGCCACCAGCAGAAAGGTCTGGGACTCAAGGTCTGCCATCTGGGTTTTGTCCCATAGGATGTCCCCTTGATTTGGGGCCCTCTCCTTCCTCTAGGAAATAGAAGTTCCAGAGAGCCAGACTATTGTGAATGCTGTTGCTCTTTGGGGTGTAGCCACCCACTAAGGCCACCACACTCCAGGCTGGTGCTGGTGAATGTCTGCAAGGGATCCTGAGATGTGGCCTGTTGTTAAGTCTCCCAGCAGTAGGTACTAGCACCCGCTCTGATAGGGATGACAGGGGAGTGACATAGACTCTGTGAGATTCCTTGGTTATAGATAGGCTTAGTTTGCTGACTTTCTCAAATGCCAGTTATTGTAGTGATGAACTATGAGGTAGACAGACTTAGGACCTCCTGATTAGCCAGGATTGTGAAGGCAATGGTGGTAATTTAGGTTGCACACAGGTTCTCTCCTTCCTGGGTATAGTGTTTTTCTACCTGGAAATGCTGTAGTGGACTGTGTCAGTTGGTTTCCAGCCAAGAGCTGACACTTTTAAAAGAGCACCTAGTAGTATTGGTCAGATTTGTGATTGCCTTATGTAACCCAGGGGAGGTACACTGGTTTCTCAGATGATAGGCAGAGTCATAAAGCTCCCGAAAGGTTTGTCCTTTGTGTTAAGCTACCAGGGTGGGTGCAAGGGCAAAACCAGGTGGGGGCTGGGTCAGGCAGGTTTACACTCAGGCTCTCAGCATGCAAGGTAAGCAGTGGCCCCTGTGGGAGTCAGGAGGGCAGTTCTCTGGCCACTGGGGTAATATTCCAGAGAAGAGCGTAGCTGCCTCTGCTGCAGAAGAGTTTGTGTAGGGAGTGGGAAGTAGCAAGTGGCAGTAAACCCATCTAGGGACTTGGCAAGGCAGATCTCCCAGATGCAATTTTTCTCTAGCAGTAGAGAACTAAGTTCCAGGCGATCTATGCTCAGAACTCACAACTGCCCCAGGCCATAAACTCTCCCTGCAGAGATAGCAACCATGGCTTTCTTTTCTTTTCTTTTTTTTTTTTTTTAATTGTACTTCAAGTTTTAAGGTACATGTGCACAACATGTAGGTGTGTTACATATGTATACACGTGCCATGTTGGTGTGCTGCACCCATTAACTCGTCATTTAACATTAGGTATATCTTCTAATGCTATCCCTCCCGACTCCCCCTACCCCACAACAGGCTCCAGTGTGTGATGTTCCCCTTCCTGTGTCCATGTGTTCTCATTGTTCAGTTCCCACCTATGAGTGAGAACATGCAGTGTTTGGTTTTTTGTCTTTGCGATAGTTTGCTGAGAATGATGGTTTCCAGCTTCATCCATGTCCCTACAAAGGACATGAACTCGTCATTTTTTATGGCTGCATAGTATTCCATGGTGTATTATGTGCCACATTTTCTTAATCTGGTCTATCATTGTTGGATATTTGGGTTGGTTCCAAGTCTTTGCTATTGTGAATAGTGCCGCAGTAAACATACGTGTGCATGTGTCTTTATAGTAGCATAATTTATAATCCTTTCATGTGTCTTTTGACTGCATAAATGTCTTCTTTTGAGAAGTGTCTATTCATATCCTTTGCCCACTTGTTGATGGACAACCATGGCTTTCATGCTATGCCCTTCCCAGTCTGCCTGCACATCCAGGGTGCAGAGCTCCTGTGGTCTTGGTTGCAGCACACTTCCCACTCACTCATGGGTTCTGAGCAAGGGAGTTCTTCCCCATTTGAGTTTATATCGCAAAATTCATTTGGGAGATTCTTTCAACGTGCTACTGGTGCCTGAGTTAGTTGAGAGACCTCTGTGAGGTCCCCTGTGAGGCAGAATAAAGAATGCCTTCCCTAGGTCTGGGCAGTCTATCCCCCTCTCATACTCTGAGGACTTAGTTTTTTTGCTTGCTCATGGTGTAGGTGGCAGCCTGCTGCTTCTTTCAGAGGGTCTATGGATTTCTGTTTTCCTATTAAGTTCTTGCATTTCTTCTTAGAAACAAAATCTCACAGTGGGAGTATCTGTGTACTATTTTGTCTTTCCAAGTGGGAGAGACATGCTAATACTGCCTCCAATCACCTATCCTGGGGTTGGGGGGATGTTCAGTACGATTTAGAAGGCTGCCTGTTGTTTGTCTAGAAAGTATATGGAGAGTGTGTTATATTCAGATTTCTTGGGATGTATTCTCTATTAGCCTTTTCATGTTGCCATAACAAAGTAATGCCAACTGTGTGAGAAACAACAGAAATGTATCCTCATGCAGTTCTGGACATCAAAGTTACAGCTAATTCTGGTCTAGATAAGGGCTCTCTTCCTGGCTTGTAGATGGCTGCCTTCATGCCATGTCCTCACATGGCCTTTTTTGGGTGCACGTGCACGTGTACACTGTGTGTGGGTGTGAGTGTGGGTGTGGGTGTGGTGGGGGAAAGGGAAACTCTTAATTTTTTTAATAAAGCTACCAATCCCATCATATTAGGATCTTCATTTTATGAACATGTTTAATCCTAATTACCTCCTTATAGGCCCTATCTCCAAATACAGTCTTAATGAGAATTGGGGCTATTAAATTTTGAGGGAACACAATTTAGTCCACAGCATGTTCTAGTGGTTTGAGTCAAAGTCCTTAGCATAATCTAAGCAGCCTGGAATGTAGACCTGTGCCCTGGCTAGATCTCTCATATTAATATCTATTTAAGCATCCTGACTACCTGCTGTTATTTGAAATGCTAGATATAGTTTCTTTTCAAGGCCTTCCTATGCAGTGTTTTCTCTGCCTGCTTACATAATGACTTCTCTGTTTGGCTGAAACTTTTCAGTTAGATCTCTTCCCAAATGTTGCCTCCTTATCCATTTTTTAGGGGTTTAAAATGTACTTTCATCAATTTATAAGTTCAGCATAAAGACACACTCTTTTGTTCATTGTTTCTTATGAAGTAGTAAATATTTATTGGATTAATGACAGAAAAAAACAGACTGAGTACCAATTTTATTTTAATTGCATATCAAGGAGGACCTGAGTGGCTGGACTTTTTCTCATCTGTTTATAATTAAGTCACTTGGACCAATTTGCAAGTTCGTAAGGGTATGCCCTTTCATTCTCTAGCCCTTCCAGTCTGGTCCACATTAACAAATGCATGTATCTAACTATCAAATACTCCTTTAGATATTCAACGTAATTAGTAGCTCACGAGAGAACAAATTATTTGCTATTTTACATCTCCAGTTTGGGGTAGCTTTTTCAAAAACCGTTGTTGGATGCCACTATAAAGGAATTTCTAAAAGGGGGCCTCAACATTTACAGTCTCCTCTCAGGAAATTCCACATTTATTATCTCCAAACAGTTAAAAAATAAAACTGTTGATCTGAGATGTAAAAAGCACAATTTGTGGCTAAATTAAGCAAAAGCTGAAATTACTTATGATCCATCCTTATTCCTTCTAATGGTGTCAATATTCTTTTTTTATTAGATGTTTATAAATTTTATTTTTTCAGTCCTTAGACTATTAGGCAGAAGCTGTCAACATTTCTGATGACAGCAAGGAACAGTAAGAACAATCAAGGTAACAGGTTGACAAATTTATTAGAAACCACAGGAAATTTACACAAGCCACTGCAGTAGATGAGTGACTCCATCTCCTCCCAGTCCTGGCATTCTCTCCTGTGCTGCAGTGGCCACCAGGTAGAACATGAAGGGAACATAGAAAGTTGACACTATCTATCCTAAGTTCTCAAGAGGAATCAGAGTGCAAAAACAACTCAATTTGGAAATTCAGCATCGTTTCTTTTATTTACAACCCACACAGCTCTTTCTCCTGCCATTTCTTACTTGTGTGTTCTTCAGAAACATTTCACACTTCCTTGGACTTCCCTCAAAGGTGACAGATGGGTAACCCAATCCGAATATGCTGTTTACTTCACTTGCATATGAGTTTCTTATTACAATATAATTGATGTGGGGAGGCAGGTATACAAAGGCACACTTGGAGCATCTTTCCAATTTGGCCAAGTTTGAATCCCATTTCAACATAATTGAGCCATCTTATTTACCACATGTCTGTCAGGTACACTTATTTCTTTTCTTACTAGCCAGCATTATTTCACCACAGAATTCAAAATAATCTAAGTACTTATGTTGATCTAATTACCTCCTGGAATTTTGCTTTTTTACCAAATGACATTAACTTTTTAATGTATGAGATGATATTTGTGTTTCATTGTATATGACTTATCAATTTTTACGTAATGCATTTATCTTATGCATTCTACCTGGTCTCATGAGGGACCTTGCACAAGGCCTTGGGGATAGAGAACAGCTTTGGGAATGACCAGAACCTAAACTCTCCTAAAAGGCCATCAAAGAAAGGAACAACATGTACAGTAAGTCACCACATTGGTAAATTCAATGATTGTTACTTCCAGTTATCCTTCCTTCACATAGCACTTAATTCTGTTTCAAATTTCTGAATAATGATTGAAAAAAGGAGTTTAGATCACATTCTAAGGAAATATCTGATCCCCAAAGATTCCATAGTGCCAGGAAATACTGTCCAGGCTCAACTATACACAACATTGAGGGTAATTTCCCAAAAACATTGTGGGCTGCTGTTACAAAGAGTTTTAATAATACATAATTTGTAACTTTTATGTGTACATAGTATACATATTTATGGGATATATGAGATACTTTGATACAGGCAGGCAATGTGTAATTATATCATTATCATTTGTATTGCAAACAATCCAATTATACCCTTTTAGTTATCTTTAAATGTAAAATCAAATTATTGACTATAATCACCCTGTTTTGCTATCAAATGCTAGATCTTACTAATTTTTTAATTTTTTTTGTACCCATTAACCATCTGCACCCCACCATTCCACCCCCACTACACTTCCTAATCTCTGATAACCATTCTTTTACTTTCTGTCTTGATGAGTTCAATTGTTTTAATTTTTAGCTCCCACAAATAAGTGAGAACATGTGAAGTTTGTCTTTCTGTGCCTCGCTTATTTCACTTAACATAATGACCTCCAGTGCCAGCCATTTTGCCACAAATGACAGGATATCATTTTTTATGGCTGAATAGTACTCCATTGTATATATGTACCATTCATACATTCTTTATCCATTTATCTGTCAATGGACACTTAGGTTGTTTCCAAATCTTGTCTACTGTGAATGATGCTGCAATAAACATGGGAATACAGTTATCTCTTTGATATACTGATTTCCTTTCTTTTGGTGATATACATAGCAGAAGATTGCTGGATCATATAGTTGTTCTATTTTTAGCTCTCTAAGGAAGCTTTAAAATGTTCTCCATAGTTAGTGGTTGTACTAGTGGGTCAGTACAACCCACTAGTTAGTACAACAACGAGTCAGTGGGTGGGATTCTCCCACCCACAGTATAGGAGGGTTCCTTTTTCTCCACAACCTCTCCAGCATTTGTTAATTGTTATTGCTAGTCTTATTAATAAAAGCCATTTTAACTGGGATGAGATGGTATCTTGTACTTTTTTTTTTTTTTTTGAGACAGAGTATTGCCTAGTCTGAAGTGCAATGGTGCCGTCTTGGCTCACTGCAAACTCCACCTCCCAGGTTCAAGCAATTCTCCTGCCTCAGCCTCCTGAGTAGCTGGGATTACAGGCGTGTGCCACCATACCTGGCTAATTTTTGTATTTTTAGTTGAGACAAGGTTTTGCCATGTTGGCCAGGTTGGTCTCAAACTCTGACCTCAAGTGATTCATCTGCCTCGGGCTCCCAAAGTGTCTGGATTATAGGTGTGAGCCACGGCCTCTCATACTACTATTGATTTACATTTCTCTGATGATCAATGATGTTGAACACCTTTTCATATACCTGTATGACAGTTTTATGTCTCCCTTTGAGAAATGTTTATTCAGATTTTTTGCTAATTAATCAAATTATTAGATTTTTTTTCCTATAGTGTTGTTTGAATTCCTTATATATTCTGGTTATTAGCCTCTGTCAGATGGGTAGTTTGCAAATGTATTCTCCCATTCTGTGAGTTGTATCCTCACATTGTTGATTGTTATTTTTGTTGTGCAGAAGCTTTTTAACTTGATGTAATCCCATTTGTCATTTTTTGTTTTGGTTGTCTGTGCTTGTGGGGTATTACTCAAGAAATCATTGACCAGTCCTAGAGAATTCTAGGATGGAGATTCTCTGTCTTAGAGAATTTCCCCAAAGTTTTCTTTTAGTAGTTTCATAGTTTGAGGTCTTAGAATTAAGTCTCTAATACATTTGACTTGATTTTTGTGTATGGCAAGTGATAAGGGTCTAGTTTCACTCTTTTGAACATGGATATCCAGTTTTCACAGAAACATTTATTGAAGAGACTGTCTTTTCTCTATACATGTTCTTGACACCTTTGTTGAAAACAAGTTTATTATATGTACATGGATTTGTTTCTGTGTTCACTATACTGTTGCATTGATCTATGCATCTGTTTTTATGCCAGTACCATGCTGTTTTGGTCTCAATAGCTATTTAGTACAATTCGAAGTCAGGTAATGTGATTCTTCCAGTTTTGTTCTTTTTGTGCAGGATGCCTTCGGCATTTCTGGGTCTTTTGTGGCTTCATATAAATTTTAAGTTTTTTTTTTTTATATTTCCATGAAGAATGTCATTGGTATTTTGATAGAGATTGCATTGAATCTGTAGATTGCTTTGGGCTTATGGATATTTTAACAATTTGATTCTTCCAATCCATAAAAAGGGACTATCTCCCCATTTTTTGTGTGTCCCCTTCTATTTGTTTTTCAGTATTTTATAGTTTTCACTGTAGAGATCTTTCACTTCTTTGGTTAATTTCTAGGTATTTTATTTTATTTGTAGCTATTGTAAATGAAATTACTTTCTTGATTTCTTTTCAGATTATTGGCTGTTGGCATATAGAAATGTTATGGAATTTTATATGTTGATTTTTTTATCATGCAACTTTACTGAATTTGTTTATGAGCTCTCACAGTTTTTGGTGGAGTCTTTAGGTTTTTCCAAATACAAATATCATCTGCAAACAAGGATAATTTGATTTCTGCATTGTTAATTTGGATGCCCTTTATTTCTTTCTCTTGTCTGATTGCTCTAGCTAGGATTTCCAGTATTGTGCTGAAACAGTGATAAAAGTGGGCATCGTTGTTATGTTCTAGGTCTTAGAGGAATGGCTTTCAGTTTTTCCCAGTCTGTATGATACTGGCTATGAGTCTGTTGTATACGGTTTTTATTATCTTGAGGTATGTTCTTTTTGTACCCAGTTTATTGAGTATTTTAATCATAAAGGGGTGTAGAATTTTATCAGCTTTTCAGCATCAATTGAAATAATCATATGGTTGTTGTCCTTCATTCTGTTGATATGATATATCACACTGATTGACTTGTATATGTTGAATTATCCTTTCATCCCAGGAATAAATCTCACTTGGTCATGATGAATTAGCTTTTTAATGTATTGTTGAATTGGGTTCTTTACAACGTATTGTTAGGTTGTTTATTTGAAATTTCTATACTTTTTTATGTAGGTACTTATAGCTATAAACTTTTCTCTAAGTACTGCTTTTGTAGTATCCCATAAGTTGTGGTATGTTGTGTTTCCATGTTTTGTTTCAATAACTTTTTAAATTTCCCTCTTAATTTCTTCATTGCTCCACTGGTCATTCAGAAGCGTATCATTTAATTTCCAGGTAATTGCATAGTTTTCAAATTCCTCTTGTTATTTATTTCTAGTCTTATTCCACTGTGGTCAGAAAAAGATACTTGATATTATTTTATTTTTTGAATTTTTAAAGACATGTTTTGTGGCCAAATGTATGGTCTATCCTTGAGAATGATTCATGTTCTGAAGAGAAGTATGTATTCTACAGCCATTGGATGAAGTATTCTGTATATATCAATTAGGTTCGCTTGGTCTATACTCAGATAAATATCAATATTTCTTTGTTGATTTTCTGTCTGGATAATCTGTCTAATGCTAAAACTGGGGTGTTGAAGTCTTTATTGTTGTACTGGGGTCTATCGCTTTATCTCTAATAATATTTGTTTTATGTATCTGGGTGCTCCATTGTTGGGTACACATGTGTTTTCAATTGTTATATCCTGTTGCTAAATTGACCCCTTTATTATTATATAATGACCTTCTTTGTCCTTGTATGGTTTTTGTCTTGAAATCCATTTTGTCTGATATAAGCATATCTACTTGATATGGTTTAGATATTTGTCCCTGCCCAAATCTCATGTTGAACTCTATTCCCCAGTGCTGGAGTTGGGGCCTGGTAGGAGGTGTTTGGATCATGGGAGAAGATCCCTCATGACTTGATGCTGTCTTTATGATAGTGAGTGAATTCTTGCAGGATCTGGTTATTTAAAAGTGTGTGATATTTCACTTCCACTCTCTCTTGCTCCTACTTTCACCATGTGAAATGCCTACTCCTGCTTCATTTTCTGTCATGAGTAAAAGCTCCCTGAAACCTCCCCAGAAGCAGATGCTGCTATGCTTCCTGTATAGCATTCAGAGCCATGAGCCAATTAAGCCACTGTTCTTATAAATTAACTAGTCTCATGTATTTCTTTATAGCAATTCAAGGATGACCTAAAACAGAAAATTGGAACCAAGGAGTTAGGTATTGCTACAAAGACACCTGAAAATATGGATGCAGCTTTGGTTCTGGGTAATGGACAGAGGTTGGAAGAGTTTGGAGGGCTCAGAAGAAGATAGGAAGATGAGGAAAAGTTTGGATCTAACCAGAGACTGGTTAAATGGTTGTAACCAAAATGCGTGATAGTGATATGCATAGTGAAGACTAGGCTGCCAAGGTCTCATATGGAAATGAGGAACTTATTGGGAACGGGAGCAAAGGTCACATATGTTACACCTTAGCAAAGAACTTGGCTATATGGCATTCATGCCCTAGGGATCTGTGGAAATTTGAAGTTCAGAGTGATGATTTATGCTGCTATAAAGACACATGCACACGTATGTTTATTGTGGCACTACTCACAATAGCAAAGACTTGGAACCAACCCAAATGTCCAACAATGATACACTGGATTAAGAAAATGTGGCACATATACACCATGGAATACTATGCAGCCGTAAAAAATGATGAGTTCATGTCCTTTGTAGGGACATGGTTGAAGCTGGAAACCATCATTCTCAGCAAACTATCGCAAAGACAAAAAACCAAACACCGCATGTTCTCACTCATAGGTGGGAATTGAACAATGAGAACACTTGGACACAGGAAGGGGAACATCACACTCTGGGGACTGTTGTGGGGTGGGAGGATGGGGGAGGGATAGCATTAGGAGATATACCTAATGTAAATGATGAGTTAATGGGTTCAGCACACCAACATGGCACATGTATACATATGTAACAAACCTGCAAGTTGTGCACATGTAACCTAGAACTTAAAGTATAATTATATATATAAAAGAGTGATGATTTAGAGTGTCCGGTGTAAGAAACTTCTAAGCGACAAAGCATTCAAAAAGTAATCTGGCTGCTTCTAACAACCTATGCTTAGATGTGGGAGCAAAGAAATGACTTAAATTTGGAATATATATTTAAAAGGGAAGTAGAGTGTAAAAGTTTGTAAAACTTGCAGCCTTGCCATGTGGCGGAGAAAGAAAAGGCTTTCTCAGAAGAGGAATTTAAGTGGGCTGTGTAACCACCACTTGCTAGAGATCTTTGCATATCTAAAAGAGAGCCAAGTGCTAATATCCAAGGCAAGGAGAAAAGGGCTTTGAAGGCATTTTAGAAACTTCACAGAAGCTCCTTCTACCACAGGTCTGGAGGCCTAAGAAGGAAAGATGGTTCCCTGGGCCAGCCTCAGGGCCCTGCTGCCCTGGGCAGCCTTGGAACAATGCTCCCCACTTTCTGACAGCTTCAACTCTAGCCTCAGCTCAAAAAGGCTTAGTATTTCTCTAGCTGACACTTTGGACAATGCAGGCCATAAGCCTTTTGGCAGCTTCTATGTGATCTTACACCTGTAGGCGCACAGAATGCAAGAATGAAGAAGGCTGAGGAGCATCTGCCTAGATTTCAGAGGATGTGTGAGAAAGCATGGGTGCCCAGGCAGAAGCTTGCTACAGGGTCACAGCCCTCAACAGAGAACCTCTGCTAGGGTAGTGCCAAAGGGAAATGTGGGGTTGGAGCCCCTGTGCAGGGTCCTCAGTGGGCACTGCCTAGCAGAGCTGTGAGAAGGGGGCCACTCTCCTCCGGACCACAGAATGGCAGATTCACTTGCGGCTTGAACCCTGCACCTGGAAAGCTGTAGGCTGTCAACAGCCTGAGAGAGCAGCCACAGGGGCTGAACTTTGCAAAGCCACAGAGGTGGAGCTGCCCAGTCCTTGAACCAGCATGCCCTGGATGTGGGACATGGAGTCAAAGGAGACTCCTCTGGAGTTTTGAAGTTTAATGACTGCCCTGCTTAGTTTCAAATTTGCATAGGAGCTGTGACCCCTTTCTTTTGGCTGATTTCTCTCTTTTGGAACAGGTATGTGTATCCAATGCTTCTACTCTCATTCTATCTTGGAAGCAAATAAATTGCTTTTGATTTTACAGGCCCATAGGTGGAAGCCTGTGAGCTTGCCTTGCCTTTTTGTTTTGTTTTGTTTTTTTAAGTTCTAGTGTATATGTGCACAACGTGCAGGTTTGTTACATAGGTATACATGTGCCATTCTGGTTTGCTGCATCCATCAACTGGTCATTTACATTAGGTATTTCTCCTAATGCTATCCCTTCCCCAGCCCCACACCCCCCAACCAGCCCCAGTGTGTGATGTTCCCCACCCTGTGTCTATGTGTTCTCACTGTTCAACCCCCACCTACGAGTGAGAACATGAGGTGTTTGGTTTTCTGTCCTTGTGATAGTTTGCTTAGAATGATGGTTTCCAGCTTCATCCATGTCCCTGCAAAGGACATGAACTCACCCTTTTTATGGCTGCATAGTATTCCATGGTATATATGTGCACATTTTCTTAATCCAGTCTATCACTGATGGACATTTGAGTTGGTTCCAAGTCTTTGCTATTGTGAGTAGTGCCTCAGTAAACATACGTGTGCATGTGTCTTTATCATAGAATGATTTATAATCCTTTGGGTATATGCCCAGTAATGGGATTGCTGAGTCCAATGGTATTTCTAGTTCTAGATCCTTAAGGAATCAACACACTGTCTTCCACAATGGTTGAACTAATTTACACTCCCACCAGCAGTGTAAAACATTCCTATTTCTCCACATCCTCTCCAGCATCTGTTGTTTCCTGATTTTTTTTCTTTAGTCCTCTTGTTTTATTTTTTATTATTTATTTATTTATTCTTATTTCTAGTTCTAGATCCTTGAGGAACTTGCCTTGTCTTAGATGAGACTTTGGACTTTTGAGTTAGTGCTGAAATGAGTTAAGATTTTGTGGGACTGTTGGGAAAGCATGATTGTATTTTGCAATGTGAGAATGGCATGAGATTTGAGAAGGACCAGTGGCAGAATAAGAGAGTTTGGATATTTGTCCCTGCCAAATCTCATGTTGAATTGTAATCCCAATGCCAGAGGTAGGGTCTGTTGAGAGGCATTTGGATCGTGGAGGCACATACCTCATGGCTTGGTGCTGTTTTCACAATAGTGAGTGAGTTCTCATAAGATCTGGTCATTTAAAAGTGTTTGTGTGGCATATCCCTACCACTTGCTCTCTCTTGCTTCTGCTTTCTCTATATGAAGTGCCTGCTCATGCTTTGCCTTCCATCATGAGTAAAAGCTCCCTAAAGCCACTGCAGAAGAAGAGGCTGCCATGCTTCCTGTATAGCCTATAGATCTGTGAGCCAATTAAATCTCTTTTCTTATAAATTACTCATTCTCAGCTATTTCTTTATAGTAATTCCAGAGTGCCCTAATACACTACTACTGCTCTTTTTGGTATTCATTTGAATGTAATAATTTTTCCATCCTTTTTTTCATTCTATGTGTGTCTTTATAGGTGAAGTGTTTCTTGTGAGCAACAGGTCTTTGGGTCTTTTTTTTTTTAAATCTATTCAGCTACTTTTTGTCTTTTGATTGGAGGGTGTAATTAATTTACATTCAATATTATTAAGTAAGGGCTTATTCCTGCCATTTTTTTTTCTGATTCTTTTGTTATTTTCTCTTTCTTCTTATCTCCCCTCCTGTCTTCCTCTTACTGAAGATGATTTTCTCTGGTAGTATATTTTAATTTTCTGCTTCAAAAATATATATCTATTGTATGTTTTTGGTTTGAGGTTACCATGAGGCTTGTAAATAATATCTTATAACCCAGTATTTTATTTATTTTAATTTTTTTTATTCTACTTTAAGTTTCAGGATACACGTGCAGAATGTGCAGGTTGGTTACAGAGGTATGCCATGGTGGTTTGCTGCGCCTCTTGACCCGTCCTCTAAGTTCCCTCCCCTTATTTCCCACCCCAACAGGCCCTGGTGTGTGTTGTTTCCATCCCTGTGTCCATGTGTTCTCCTTGTTCAACTCCCATTTATGAGTGGGAACATGCAGTGTCTGGTTTTCTGTTCCTGTGTTAATTTGCTAAGGATGATGGCTTCCAGCTTCATCCATGTCCCTGCAAAGGACATGATCTCATTCCTTTTTATGGCTGCATAGTATTCCATGGTGTATATGTACCACATTTTCTTTATCCAGTCTATCATTGATGTAACCCAGTATTTTAAACTGATGACAACTTAACACTGATTACATGTACAAACAAACCAGCAAAGACAAAACTAACAACAACTCTATATTTTAACTTTGTTCCCCTATTTCTTATTTTTTGTTGTTTCTATTTATATCTCATTATACTCTCTCTGTCTTGGGAAGTGGCAGTAAATATTCTTGATTACTTCATCTTTTCATCTTTCTTCCTAAGATAGGAGTAGTTTACACACCACAATTACAGAGTTATAATCTTCTTTGTTTTTCTCTGTACTTACTATTACCAGTGAGTTTTAAACCTTCAGATGTTTCTTAGTGTTCAGTAGCATTCATGTTTTTGAGATTTAAGAACTCCCTTTAGCATTTTTGGTAGGACAGGTCTGATATTGATGAAATCCTTCAGGCTTTATTTTTCTGGGAAAGTCTTTATTTCTCATTCATGTTTGTACAGTATTTTCACTGGATATGCTATTATGGGGAAAACATTTTTCACTTCGGCTCTTGAAATACATTGTGGCAGTCTCTACCTATAAGGTTTCTACTGAAAAGTCTGCTGCCACACTTATTGGACTTCCGTAGTATGTTATTTGTTTCTTTTTTTCTTGCTGCTTTTAGGATCTTTTCTTTATCTTTGACCTCTGGGAGTTTGATTATTAAATTCCTTGAGGTAGTCTTCTTTGGGTTAAATCTGCTTGGTGTTCTATAACCTTCTTTTTCTTAAATATTGATATCTTTCTCTAGATTTGGGAAGTTCTCTGACATTATTTCCTTAAATAAACTTTCTACTCCTATCTCTTTGTTTACCTCCTCTTTAAGGCGAATAACCCTTAGATTTACCCATATAGGGCTATTTTCTATTCTGTAAGTGTGCTTCATTCTTTTTTATACTTTTTTCTTCTGTTTCCTCTGACTGTGTATTTTCAAATAGCCTGTCTTCAAGCTTACTGATGCTTTATTCTGGTTGATCAATTATCTTATTATGAGTCTCTGATGCATTCTTCAGTATGTCAATTGCATTTTTAAACTTCAGAATTTCTGCTTGATTTTTTCTAATTATTTCAATTTCTTTGTTAAATTTATCTGATAGAACTGTGAATTCCTTCTCTGTATTATATTGAATTTGAGTTTCCTCAAAACACCTATTTTGAATTCTCTTTCTAAAAGGTCACATATCTCTGTGTCTCTGGGATTGGTCCTTGGTGCCTTCTTTAGTTCAATTTGTGAGGTCATGTTTTCCTGGATGGTGTTGATGCTTGCAGATGTTATTCAGTGTCTGGGCATTGAAGATACAGATATTTATTGTAGTCTTCGCAGTTTAGGATTGTTTATATTCATCCTTCTTAGAAAAGCTTTCCAGGTATTCAGAGTCTCTTTGGTGTTATGATCTAAATTTTTGGTCACTGAAGCCATATCTGCATTTGTGTCATCTCGATCCCAGTAACACTGTTGACTCTGACAGACTTGTAGAGGTACTTCCTTGGTGGTACCTCTTGGTGGATAAGATCTGGTAGAAATCTTTGAATTACCTAGCAGAGATTTCTGGTCTCTTCCTTTAATTTTTTCCAAAGAAAAGTCTCTTTCTCTCTGCTGAGCTGCCTGGGGCAGGGGGAAGGGTGACACAAGCCTGGGCAACATGATGAAAGCCCGTCAAAAATTACACAATTAGCTGGGTGTGGTGGCACATGCCTGTAGTCTCAACTACTTGGGGGGCTGAGGCAGGAGAATCATTTGAACCTGGGAGGTTGAGGCTTCAGTGAGCCAAGATGGCACCACTGCTCTCCACTCTGGGTGACAAAGTGAGACTCTGTCTCAAAAAAAAAAGAAAAAGAAGAATTAAAAAAAAAAGAAATGCAAATTCTCTGACCTCATTGCAGACCCAGTGTATTAGTTTCCTAGCGCTGCCATAACTAATTACCCAAAACACAGAGGAAACTAGAAGTCCACAATTAAGGTATCAGCAGGAGTCTTTGTTCTGAAGCCTCTGAAGGAGAAAACTTCCCATGCCTTTCTCCTAGTTTCTGGTGGTTACTGGCATTATTTCTTTTTTTTCCACACTCCTTGGCTTGCAAACACATTACTACAATCAATGCTTTGTCTTTACATGGCTTTCTTCTCTGTGTTTCTCCTCTGTTTTCATATCTCAAGTATCCCCCTTCTTTCTCTAATAAGGACACCAGTCATTGGATTTTGGCCCCACCCTAATTCAGGATGACGTCATCCTGAAGGCCTTATTTTAATTATGCTTGCAAAGATTCTTATTCTAAATTAGGGAACATTCTGAGGTCTGGGGTGGACATGAATTTTTGGAGGATAAAAATTCCTCCCATTTAACCCACGACACATACAAAACCGGAAGCTCTGCTGGTGGAGTCTAGTAATCTTTTACCGAAGTTTCCAAATGATTCCGGTGCATACAAAACTTGGCAAACCACTGATACACAGTGTATGGCCCTGTCTTAATCCATCTGTGCTACTATAACAATAACTAGACTAGGTAATTGATGAAGAACAGAAATGTATTTGCCACTGTTCTAGAGACTGGAAAGTCCAAAATGAAAGTGTCAGCATTTGCTGAGGGCCTTTTTGCTGCATCTTAACATGGTGGAAGGCAGAAGGGCAAGAGAGCAAACCTTTCACAAGGTCTTTTCATAAAGGTGTTAATCCGTTCACAAGGGCAGAGGCTTTGTGATCTAAACACCTCCCATCAGGTCCCACCTTTCAACACTGTTGAATTGGTGACTACATTTCAAACATATGAATTTTGGAGGGGACAAAAGCATTCAAACCATAGTATTCCTTTGATAAGAAGTACAGTAACAAAATGTTACTACATTTTGTTATAGTCCCAACATAAATATCAATAAAAATTCTGTTTTGTTCACAAAAGAACCCCCACTTGAATATTAACTTATCATCCTTACAATGACATGTCAAACTATTAGAATATTCACAAACTGAGCAAATTTTACAAGATGAGGAGCCTAAGTGTGGGTAGGGACTGCAAGTAACAGTTGACAGACGACTTATAATATCTCACTGACTTGTTAAAATAGATACACACATAATTGAGGAATCTGCCCATCCTTTATTCTGCCTTTTCCTTTGGGGAGAAACCCTTGGGCAATAAAGTTGAAATTTTTTCTGAGACTCGCTGGGTAGAAATTTATGCCCAAGTACGTCTAAAATGTCAGTGGTGAAATGTATGAACAGAGAAAGTTTTAATGCTCTTACAAGCTAGGTAGAAAATTTAAGATAGGGAATTGCATCAAGCCTGAAAAATGGCCTAGGAAACTGAATAAATAAGAAATTTACAAATGGCCTTTCCAGTAACCAAAAACTGCATCTAAGGAGATTGTATTTTTTCATCTATCTGTACATACAATTATTTCTATCGTTGACGTGTTCTGCAATGTTAGAGAAAACCTAGGAAATATTTTCTGTGCCATCCCCACATGAATGAATAGAGAGTTAATTGAAGACCAGCAGGCTACTACTTCCTCTTCTCTGTTTAACTTCAGAATAAGAAATCCTTCTTCAAACCTGTGTTGTGAGACTTCACTTATTTTTAGTTTTACTATTGTCCTAATCATTCCAAAAGGAATGATAATTTTAGTTTTGCATATCTTTAAGAAATAAATACCTCTGTGCATTGCCTGTGTTCCCTGTAAGCAATTCTCTAGCCAGAAGAGAGAGAAAACTGAAACATCAGGAAAATACAAAATGACAGAAAGCATAGTTATTTCTCCTTTTCTCTTTCCAGTATTTTATTATTTAGGATGATTATCTTCTGTATTAAATTTGTAACTTTTTAACCAAGGTATGAGATTTTTTTGTACAAGTAAGAAATAATAAGAAATAAATAAGTTTTTTGTAAAATAAGAAAAAAAAGCTAGAATTACAACTTTCTTAATGTTTTGAATATGCAGGCTTCATGTAAATTAATTAAATATTAACCATTTTCAACCATTTATTGAACATGCTGTGTGAGGCTTTCTTGATCCTTGGTAAGAAAAACTCATTTTATACTTATGTATACAGTATGTATGCTTATTTAAGGTGTATGAAATATGAGTATGTGAATTATAGCAGTTTAGTATGTGAAAGATGTCACTTTAAGAGTGCTATTCCAGAATTGTGTGATTTTTTTTCATTTTGACATAAAACTATCATACCATAAAGACGGCAAACATTTCAGAACAAGCAGACCAGAAAAAAATGAAGGGAATGGGAGAGAGAGGAGGAAGGGAGGGAGGGAAGGAGGAAAAGAGGGAGGGAGGGAGAGCCTGAAGAAAAAGAGTAAATAATTTAAACATTAAATTAAAAATGTTTGAAAAATAAATCATAAAGTGTAAATAAGTGAAATAATAGAATTAATTAAAAAAAGACCATACCACATTTGAAAAAAAAGATATTAATAATATAAATCAAATTGTGTTCTATTTGAAAACAATAGACTCTAGACTAATCAGGAGAAGAAAAGGAAGAAAGCACAGAAACAAAAGATTAGGGAGGAAATGAAAAAGAGCCAAAGATACAAAGGAAATTAAAAAATTAAACAATTCACCACTTTCTTCAGATCAGTTCAAAAGCTGAATATAATAGATGAGATTCCAGGAAAATACAAATTGCTAAATTTAACAGATGAAGTAACAGAAAACATAAACAGATCAATTGCCTGAGACAAACCTGTTCAAAAAGAAAACCACCTCCTCCTCACTACTGCATCTCTAATACTGGGCAAAATGCCACAAACCAGAGGTTTTTACAGGTAAGTTTTATGAATATTTCAAGGAATTGATCAAGTTGTTGCTATTTAAACTGGTTAAGAGCACTGAAAGCAAAGGAAATATTCTAAAATATTTTAAAAATCAAACATCTTTGATATCAATAGTAGACATTTTAGTACAAAGAAAGAAAACTAATTTTAACATATTGATTTTAAAGTGACACAAAAAAATGAACTCGAGCAAAACAAAAACAAGAAAACAACAATTAGGAAATGCAGTAGAAAACCAGGGTTTGTTTCTAGAAAAAAAGAAGGATTTAATATGGAGAAATATGTGCATATAACCTATATTATATTATAAGACATACACTAACAAAATGTATACATAGAACTACTATAAAAATATATAGCAAAGCTAGATTGATGGTCACGGCATATTGAAAAATATTTTTTACCCTTTTTTTTAGGTTCGGGGTACATGTGAAGGTTTGTTACATAGGTAAACTTGTGTCTCGGGGGTTTGTTGTACAGATTATTTCATCACCCAGGTATCAAGCCCAGTACTCAATAGTTATCTTTTCTGCTCCCCTCCCTCCTCCCGGTGTCCAGCCTCAGGGAGATCACAGTGTCTTTTATTCCCTTCTTTGTGTTCACGAGTTTTCATCATTTAGTTCCCACTTATAAGTGAGAACATGTGATGTTTGGGTTTCTGTTCCTGCTCTGCTGAGGATAATGGCCTCCAGCTCCATCTATGCTCCTGCAAAAGACCTGATCTCATTCTTTTTTTTTTTTTTTTTGTGGCCACATAGTGTTCCATGGTGTATATGTGCCACAATTTTTAATCTAGTTTGCCATTGATGGGCATTTAGGCTCATTAAATGTGTTTGCTATTATGAATAGTGCTGCAGTGAACGTTCATGTGCATGTGTCTTTATGGTAGAATGATTTATATTTCTCTGGGTATATACCCAGTAATGGGATTGCTGAGTTGAATGGCAGTTCTGCTTTTAGCTCTTTGAGAAATCACTATACTGTCTTCCATAATAGTTGAACTAATTTACACTCCCACCAACAGTGTATGAATGTTCCCTTTTCTCCACAACCTTGCCAACATTTATTAATTGACTTTTTTTTTTTTTTTTGAGACAGGGTCTGGCTCTGTTGCCCAGGCTGGAGTACAGCAGTGTAATATTGGCTCATTGCAGCCTCAACCTCCCAGACCTAAGTAATCCTCCCATCTCAGCCTTTCAAGTAGCTGGGTCTACCAGCGTATGCCACCACACCTGGCTAATTTTGTATTTTTTTTGAAGAGATTGGGTTTCCCTATGTTTCCTAGGCTGGTCTTGAACTCCTCAGCTCAATAGATGTGCCTGTCTTGGCCTCCCAAGGTGCTGGATTACAGGCATCAGCCACTGTGTATGGTCTTGCCTTTTTAATAATACCTATTCTCACCAGTGTGAGATGGTACCTCATTGTGATTTTGATTTGCATTTTTCTAATGATTAATGATATTGAACTTTTTTTTTTTCTTCAGAGATGGAGTCTTGCTCTGCCACCCAGGCTGGAGTGCAGTGGTGTGATCTCAGCTCACTGCAACCTCCGCCTCCCAGGTTCAAGCGATTCTCCTGCCTCGGCCTCCAGAGTAGCTGGGATTACAGGCGCATGTCACTACACCTGGCTAATTTTTGTATTTTTAGTAGAGACAGGGTTTTGCCATGTTGGCCAGGCTGGTCTCAAACTCCTGACCTCGTGATCCACCTGCCTCACCTTCCCAAGATATTGAGCTTTTTTTCATGTGCTTGTTGGCCACATGTATGTCTTCCTTTGAAAAGTGTCTGCTCATGTCCTTTGCCTACTTTTTAATGGGGTTGAAAATTTTTTTATTATAATCACTTAACTTTAAATAAAATAGTATTAGATTGATGCAAATGAGATTGTGTTTTTTGTCACAAAAAGTAATGGCAAAAACCACATTAACTTATGTGCCAACCTAACAATTGATGGATGCTTCCATTGTGTTACCAAGCATAGGCTCAGCTGCTCAGCACTTGCAATGCCAATGACAAGGATGAAGCGCCATGAAAGGAGAGTGATTTTACTTACCAAAGCTAGCAGTGGGGGAGTGGTCTAGGCTCCTGCCTTAAACCATTTCAGAGTTCTGGGTTGAGTGTAGGTACTTAAAAAGGGGAAACACAGTAGGAGGGGCATGTAAGAGTAGCGAGGAGGTGTTGGTCTACATGGCTTGTTCTGATGACTTACCTTGAGTTATTACCCCACATGGTGAATAGGCTGGTGCCATCTTGGCAATGAGTAATCTTTTTTTTTTCTTTTTTTTTGTTTTTGTTTTGAGATGGAGTCTCACTCTGTCACCAAGCTAGAGTGCAGTGGTGCGATCTCGGCTCACTGAAACCTCTGCCTCCTGGGTTCAAGCAATTCTCCTGCCTCAGCCTCCCAAGTAGCTGGGACCACAAGCGTGCGCCACCATGCCCAGCTAATTTTTGTATTTTTAGTAGAGATAGGGTTTCACCATGTTGGCCAGGATGGTCCTGATCTCTTGACCTTGTGATCTGCCTGCCTCGGCCTCCCAGAGTGCTGGGATTACAGGTGTGAGCCACCACGCCCGGCCAGTTATAAGTAATGTTTAGAAGATTACTCAGGAAAGAAAATTCCACTGCTGCCTGGACTGTTACAAGATTTAATCTCTGAAACTTATAAGGAATAATTAAATAAGGAAAACATTGTGCAAAGGAGTACCTAGTGGAAAGAAAGAACATAAAGGATACTATTTTATCATTAACAAGAATCAGGTACCAAAGAGGAGGGGAAGGAAAAGAAAGAAAAAGAAGAAGAAAAAAAAAACCTTAAAAATAGGATACTTGTTTACGACTGTAGTACTTAATAGCAGAACACTGGAATATTTGTCACTACATTCAGAAGATGGTCTATTGCCACCATTGCTATTATTTAACTTTTTTCTAGAAGTACTAATCAGTGTAAACAAACAACAAATTTATATTTATATGTATAAAACATTTTTGTTAAGAGGCAAAATTTTTATTTTAAAAATGATGAGATCATATAACTGGAATAACTAAGTATGTCAATTTAACACTGTCAGGAACTAAATAAACTCATTTGTATAGGAACAAAATTATTATACTTAGCTTTCTTATTTATAAATAATGACCTCTTAGAACTAGAGACCTCTATGTTTATAATAGTAAACAAATGTAAATAAATTATATAAATAAACTTAATAAGACACCTAGAAAAAAAAACATAAACACCCATCAGTGGTTCATTACTGTGTAACTAACCACCTCAAAACTTAATGGCTTAATAAAACAATAACATATTTGCTCCTGTTTGTTTTTTTGGCAGTTTGGGTCCTGCTCAGCTGGAGCAGCTCAACTCTGCTCCATGTGGTGTTGGCTTCTTCTAGGTCTCTCTATGGTCTCTCATCCTCCAGGATGCTAGCCTGGACTTGTTTGCATGTGGCAGCAGTATTCCAAGAGGCTCAGAGTGAAGTGGCAAGGCTATTTTAGGCCTAGAATTTGCCAATTGAACTTTAAGTCACAAGCCACCTAGATTCAAGGGTTTGGAAAATCAACCATATTTCTATACAGGAGAAGCTATGAATAGTTTGTTATTTTTAATTTAATATAATAACAAATGAAGATAAAACTCCTAAATTGTTTTTAGTCAATAAGAATAAATGGTGTAAACATCTTAATTTATTCCAATTTAATCTATGAAGTTAGTATGATTAATAAAATAATGGTTGATTGTTTTGTTTCTTTGATACTTAAATCGATTTTAAACCTCCGATATGAAGACATATAAGAGTAGGAATAACTAATAATTATAAAAATAGAAATAAATAATGATAAATACAAATGATAATTAAGAATACTGTTTCTATGGCTGGGCGTGGTGGCTCACTCCTGTAATCCCAGCACTTTGGGAGGCCTAGGTGGGCGGATCACCTGATGTCAGGAGTTTGAGACCAGCTTAGCCAACATGGTGAAACCCCGTCTTTGCAAAAACACACAAAAAATTAGCCAGGCATGATGGCACGTGCCTGTAATCCCAGCTACTCAGGAGGCTGAGGCAGGAGAATCACTTGAACCTGGGAGGCGGAGGTTGCAGTGAGCCGAGATCATGCCATTGCACTCCAGCCTGGGTGACAGAGCAAGACTCCATCTCAAAAATAAAATAAAATAACATAAAGTAAAATAAAATAAAATACTATTTATATTAAAACACATTACAAATATATAGTAATAAAAACTTTTGATCTTAGCACAGAGTCAGCAAGCAGATATATGAAACAGGTAAAGATTTCATAAAATACATTAAAATAAAGCTGCCATTTAAAATTAATGAGAAAGCTATATATTAATAAACAGTAGTTAGACAACTGAAACCCAAGTAAAAATAATGCTGGACCTTGAAAATATTCATTATATCACACTCTCAAAATAAAACTAGAGGACAACATGAAGGGATTTATTTTATAATCTTGGAGTAGAAAAGGGTTTTTCTAGAAAAAAAATCCAGAATCCATAAAAAAAGACAGTTTATAAATTTGTGATTATATAAAAATTTTAAATGTATGTATGAAAAAAGGAATATAAGAAATAAGTCACAATACTAAAGTCAAACTGAGAGATACATAAAGAGAAACTAAGAATCGGCAAGAAAAATACCAGAAACCCAATAGGAAATAGAATAGACCAAGGATATGAATATGGAGGTAGAAATACTTTAGGTAAAATATAGTATAAATGTATGAAATAATTCACTCACAATTGGAATAAACTCACCCCAAAATAAAGTATATTAAACTCTCATATCAACATACTAGCAAAAATAAATCAACAATAGCCAGGTGCAGTGACTCACACCTGTAATCCCAGCACTTTGGGAACCCGAGCTTAAGCAGATTGCTTGAGCCCCAGAGTTTAGTGAACAGTCTGGGAAACGTGGCAAAACCACATCTCTACAAAAATTGAAAAAGAAAAAGAAATACAAAAATTAGCTGGGCGAGGTGGTGCGAGCCCCTGTAATCTTAGCTACTCAGGAGGCTGAGATGGGACAATCACCTGAGTCCAAGAAGTCGAGGCTGCAGTGAGTGGAGATCACTGGGCGTAGGAGTGAGACTATTTCTCAAAACAAACAAACAACCCAAGGTATCCAATAATGATAAAAGTACTCTTTATTTCTTAATTCTGCTTCCTTTTTTAAAAACTTATTCTCAGATGCTCTCTACTAGTTAGAACCTATCAGTTCCACACTTACATCCTACTCTAAAAACATTGGTGGAAACAAAACATCTTTTTTTCTAATTATATTAGCAAAAGTCCTAATCATGATTATCACTGGACCAGGGTGGTCATGTGACCACTGCTGCTATAATTGCTGTGTTAATGTGGTGGAACCCTTATGGAACTATTGCGACTCCAATGTTATCCAAGCCACATGGAGACCTGTAGAATGAGATTGTTTCCAAGAAAAATGAAGTCTTCGTTACAGATGAAGTTTCAGGCTTCTCTGAGAAAAATATTAAGGCTAGTTGAGTCCTCTTGTTTTCCTGCAAAGAGGACTGGTCCACTGAATTCACCACAGCACTCAAACCATGTTGCACAAAGAGACAGGATAACAGGAAGGAAAGAGTAGCACTGGAGTTATGCTCGCAAACTGCTCTATCCTAGATTACTGCTGACTTGGGACAAGTCTGTTATTTCGTTTGATCTCAGGTTTCCCCACTTGTTTAAAATGGAGATAATGATATGTATCTCATAGCATCACTGAATGAAGTTTGAATGGAAATGATTCATATTTCTGGAATCATAGCGTTTGCTTCATATTTGTTATTTCCACTTCCCATTCCCCTTACATATGCCTAGTCTGTGCTCTTAAGCGCCCCATGCTATTCTGACCTTTTTCTTAACTTGGAGTGCTTGCTGACATGCTCGCTTTCCATTTTCTATCCCAGCAGTTGTTTTTATTGGAAATACTTTTGAATTTTTATTTTCCAAAATAAAAGTTCATGCCACACCAGGCAACTTCACCGTGGACAGCCTCTGTACTCTGTACAAAGGATAATGAACAAAGAATTCCTGAGACCAGATCCATAGATACCTGAGAGAGTTGAGCCCCTGTGGCTGACAGTGTATTAGGTCAGTATTGACTGTGACCCATGTTGAATGGGTAGATAGCAGTTGAGATTTAATATTGTCCTTTGCAAATGACCTGTGGTAGCCATAATCCTGAAAACAATAGTGGACAAATCTGATGACTATCCTCCTAGTGGATGAAGGCAAAGTATCCTGAATTTAGGGGTTATCTGGCTACAGAAGTCCAAGGGGTCCGAGAAGAGATGTGCTGGCCCAACTAATGAGTACTAATGAAGAAAGGGGCTGAGATTTAACTACAAACTGTTTTGGAATATGCAATTGATTATTGTAACAACACAGAAACCCCGTAAACATATTTTCATTAAGTATAGAGAACGGAAGTCAACATCTTTTCTGTTATCATGCTAACCAATTCTAGGAGAAAGCATATTTTCATGCTTTTGTGCTAAAGTAGTCTGGATCAGGCAACAATAATTTAGCTGCTTGTTCCAAGAAATTCTTGTTCTTGTGAACCAACTAAACAGCTTAGTTAATAGTTTTCCTCATTAAGAATCACTTGTAAGAACCTCACTTCACTTCACTGCAACCATTAATTCAAAGTTACTAGGTCATATGCTTTGCTTTCTTAAACGGTTTCCTGCCTTACAAGTCTTACCTTAAAATCACCCAGCCCAGCCCATGCACCCTGTAAAGACCAGTTTCCAGTTATCCCATTTTGAGATATTATTGGGAATCAGTGAAGGTGATGGTCTCTTCTGTGGCATAATTTTGCTTGAACAAAGATTTTGCTGGAAGTCTCTTGGGAAGTGACAATTATTATCAATAAATACATAGTGGGCAATATGTCAGAAGAAACCAGATGTTAAAATCAAGGTTGGCAGTTAACTTTCCGATGGCTGCTACACGTCATTACGTTTACTTAAATGATAATACTTTTTAAAGCCACAGTCATTTGATACGCTCTTTTCTATCTATGAATGAAGAAATTGACATCCAAGGATGTTAAGAGTCGTCAACATTGATACATGTTAAAAGAAATTAAATTAAAGAGAAAGCCAGAACTAGAATGATTTCCCAACAGTTCAACTTAGTTATTCTATTAAAATAATGCCTATCTCTGAAGATCCCTTTATCTAGCATCTATCTATCTATCTATCTATCTATCTATCTATCTATCTATGTCTGTCTGTCTGTATGTATATATTTTCATAGTATAAACACATTTTAAAGTATAAGTCTCCAAATTATGCTATGAAATTATGAAATTGTATATGTTGTTTGAAGCACTTTTAAAATGGTACAACAGATAAAAATGTTACCAAAATACAATCCATTTATTTTAGGGATTTGGGTACAATTCTGGAGTGCAATTTTCCAAACTTACAATAAGAATGACTTAGAATTCATATTAAAATTATAAATGTGTGGCTCCTCTTTGATCTACTGAATATTTTTATAAGAGGTGCCTAAGAATTTGCTGTTTTATCAACTTGTCAGATTTTTTAAAATCTAAGGTAAGTGTGGGAAATGACGTATTCTAGGACTTTGGCTCACATATGTAGTTGCTCTTTTGAATCACCTGAGAAGCGTTTAAAATATACCAATGCCTGGCCATACCCTAGACCAATTAAAATATTTTTGGGAGAGAACCAAGCATGTATTTGTTGATATTGTACCAAGTTATGCTAATGTGCATAGGGCTGAGACCCAGCATATCAAACCAGAGCTTCTCATTTATGTACATACATATCTTAGTAAAACACACATCCTATTTCAGTGGATCTGCAGTGGGGTCTGAGATTCTGAATTTCTAACAAATTCCCAGGTGAGGCTGATGCTGCTTTTTGCAGACCATACAAAGGGTGTAGCAAGCAATTAGAACAATGATTCTCTAAGTTATGGTCTCTAGACCAGCAGCATCAGCATCCCCTGGGAACTTGTGAAAATAGAAGTCCCTGGGCCCCCACCCTAACCTATGCAATCAGAACCTCCAGGTCTCTGGCCTTGCCTTTATGACACCCCCCTCCCGCATGCCCTCATAGCAACAGAAGATTCACTGTCATTTATTTGACACAATGAGCTTCCACCAATAATTTTGTTTGAGTAAGAAGTTCTGAGAATAACAATTAATATATAAAATTAGTTATGTTGGTAGATAATTGAAAACCTCACATTTACAGGAAAATTATGAATTTGTAATCAGAAAACCAAATTTAAAATTGTAGCTCAATTTCCTCTTAGTTTTGTGAACTTGGGTGAATCATGTAACCCTGAGCTTCAGATTTTTAACTAAAAAAAAAAAAATGTTAAAATGAGCACTTTCCTTACCCATTTTACATGTTAGCTGTGAGGAACCAAGATGTTATTATTATAGATAGCAGAAATATGTACCTGGTGATGATGAATGAGGTGGATAAAGAAATATAAATCTTAAACTTGGTTCCGGCTGCACAGAATGTTTAAATTATTAGTGAAGTAACAAACACTAAGAAAGCAAAAAGTTGTCAGAAAGATCAAAAGAAAGGATAGTAACATTTACTGAAGACTCATTTGGTGCTTTAAATATGACATTTCATTTTTCTACCATACTAATAAATTCCAAGTGAGGAAATTAAGATAGCACAGAAAATAAAGTTAATAACCTTTGGAGCCACATTAAAGGGCTTTTGCATCAGAAGACCTAAGTTTGAGTGATACTCTGTTGCTGGCTATGGACCATTGATTAAAACTCTCTTACTCAATATGTCTTCAGCAGCATAGAAATAACATGTGCCCTATAAGATACTTGGTATCCAGAAATTTAAAAACGATGAGAAATTGCTCTAAAAATGTCAAAGATTTTAACTATGTAACTCATTATGTAAAATAACACATAAGATGTATAGACTTTAATAATTTTAACATTTTGCTAAATTTGCTTCAATTTCTCTGAATTATACATATAGCAAAGGTATACTGAATGGTAGAATATTTACACATATTCAAACTTTATTTCCATTTAAGTTATTTTTTATCAATGTTATCTATTCAATAAATGTTTAGGGGATTGAGTACAATCGTTGAATTTTGTCTCATTGCTATGTCATTTTCATTTTACAGAAGGGAATTCATCTACCTAGTGCTGATTTTATTGGTAACTTTTATGTTTCTATCATATTTTATATATCTTGAGTTTCATTTTACTGGCCTTTGAGGGAAGACTCTCTACTTCTCTCTCCATCTGCTTTTCATGCTTTTGGGGTTTTGCAGTTTTTTCCACCCAGCATCCCGAGGCTCCCAGTTGAGAACTGAGAGTCATGTGTATGGCTCAGTTCCTACTCCATGTTGGCTCTGCTGCTGTTACTAACGCAGTGGCCAAGCCTGCATTTGTGCCTCTGTCCTTTTTCAGCTTTTTTATCTTGATAACAAAAGGTCCTTTATCATGTCTTGCTTTTAACACAACAATCCTGTCTCCGTTTTTTCACCTTTTCTGGGGAGCTTTTTCCTTGTAATGCCATCTGACTCAAATTCTCAACTGTTCCTTCCTGCTTAGAAATCTAGAGCCCATTTCACCACAGCCTCACCAGCATTGTGGAAGACAGTGTGGCGATTCCTCAAGGATCTACAACTAGAAATACCATTTGACCCAGCAATCCCATTACTGGATATATACCCAAAGGATTATAAATCATTCTACTGTAAAGACACATTCACACGTATATTTATTGCAGCACTACAATAGCAAAGACTTGAAACCAACCTAAATGCCCATCGATGATAGACTGGATAAAGAAAATGTGGCACGTATACACCATGGAATACTATGCAGCCATATACAAGAATGAGATCATGTCCTTTGCAGGGGCATGGATGAAGCTGGAAGCCATCACCCTCAACAAACTAATACAGGAAGAGAAAACCAAACACTGTGTGTTCTCACTCATAAGTGGGAGTTGAACAATGAGAACACATGGATACAGGGAGGGAAACATCACATACTGGGGCCTGTTGGGGAAGGGCAGGTGGCAAGGGATGGGAGTGCATTAAGACAAATACTTAATGCATGTGGGGCTTAAAACCTAGATGACAGATTGATAGGTGCAGCAAACCACCATGGCACATGTATACCTATGTAACAAACCTGGACATTATGCACGTGTATCCCAGAAGTTAGTATAATAAAATTAAAAAAGAAAAAAGAAATCTAGAGCCCAGAGAGAGTGGCTTCAGTTCTGCTGTTTTGTTTTCTAGTTGTCAGGTATTTGATTTTATACATGGCTAGATCTTTTTAAATGTGTCTTTTATCTATTATATTTTCAGTGAAGAAGAATTGCCTCAGATTATAACTTTTAATGCCAGCTTAATCAGAACTCTGGTATGGAATTTATGATCTGAATGTTAGAGATATCCAGATCCAAGTGAAGAAAGACTCATGAAAAAGGTCTTCCTGATAGTACCCAAGTAGACAAAATCAGATCATTATGTTAATTATGAATGATCACATTAATGCCTGCATTTGTGCCCTGCATGTACTGAAGCATTACATGCCCAGCCTCAGTGAGGCAGAGGATGACCCTGTCTTTCCCTCTTCTTTTATTGTTTGCCACTTCATTACTTTCCTTATCTGTTGGACCCTGGGGAAGTGAGCTTGTTTGGTCTTCACAGTGCCTTTAAATTGGCCATTTTTCAGTTGAATTTTCCCCCAGCTGGCTGTGACGGAATCAGATCAACCTTTTGCAACTTGATGGATTGTTCTATGTTCTGTCATCGAGAAGGCTGAAAAAAAGAGTGACAGCAAAGTTGACAATCTGTAGGCTTTTCCTAAAGATATGTTCACTTACTGTATTCCCTGTCTGTAAAAACTTACTCTCACTAAGGTATACAATACTTTAAAAACATCAATTAAAAGCACTAAGAGTTTTGATCATCTTTTCAATTTAATGGGTTTAACTTTTAGACAATAATTAGGTAAAATTACATTGTCATATTACCTCCTGGTTTTGTATCCATGGAGACACAGAACTCTTCAACCAGTGGAAAGTTATCCTAAATAATATGCCAAGGTGGCTCTAGCATGAAAAATTCCATTTAAAAAAAAAAACTAAATGGTTTATTCTGAGCATTATTGCTAAGTTTCTGGTAATATCTTTGTGAAAGTTCAAAATATAGATAGATTTATAATTTCTAAGGGTATTAAAATGATCTAAAAGAGGTTATAAATCATTACAATACAGTTTATCCAAACAAATAGAATATGTTTAAATAAAAGTAAATATAAAGAACTGTGTTTTTTTTCCTAAGGATGCACTTTTCTTTTAAATTGTCAACTTGAAAAAATAACTGTCAATTAGGTAAGTGGCAGGTTAATCGGTGTATAGATTAACAGTGATTAAAAATAGTAATTGCATGTTTTGATTGATTGATTGATTGAGATGGAGTTTTGCTCTGTTGCCCAGGCTGGAGTGCAGTGATGTGATCTTGGCTCACTGCAACCTCCTCCCAGGTTCAAGCAATTCTTGTGCCTCAGCCTCCTGAGTAGCTGGGATTACAGGCATGCACCACCACACCTGGCTAATTTTTGTATTTTAAGTAGAGACAGGGTTTCATCATGTTGGTCAGGCTGGTCTTGATCTCCCGACCTCAGGTGATCCACCTGCCTCAGCCTCCCAAATAGCTGGAATAACAGGTGGGTGCCACCACTCCCAGCCAACTCTTTTTTTTTTTTTTTAAGTAGAAAGGGGGTTTCACCATGTTGGTCAGGTTGGTCTTGAACTCCTGACCTCAAGTGATCTGCTTGCCTCGGCATCCCAAATTGCTGGAATTACAGGAGTGAGCCACCATGCCCAGCCACATGTTATATTTTAAAAAGGAATGAAGTATTAAATTTGACTTTTTTCTTAAGACTATTGGTGAAGACCAGATCTTTAATGAAGGGGTGATCAAGAGATTGTTAAGCCAGCTTTGCAACTCTTATTTCATTCTGCTTCTAGATAGATTCCAGCAATAAGAAATTCTTTGGAAAGTACAATCAATATGCTGTGTGCTTCCAGGGATGATGGGGCTGGAGTTCTTTTCTCCTCACTTCCAGCCAGTTAAATTTGGGCTTTTATCTGACTCACTTCTGAAATAGCTCCTGATTACAGAGAGGAAGAAATGAGCCAGAATGATGTCAATTTGTTCTCTGAAGACATGAGCTAGCATCCTGTTTTTCCTGGTTTGAGCACTGTCCAAATAAAAGGGTTTTATCTTAGAAGTCACCGGACTCAAGAAGAGTATGTGGAGGAGTGAATCTTCTCCAAAAGAGAGTTTCCTGAGCCTGTAGTGAAGGGGTTGTCACACACCATCACCTGAAGTGGGCATCACTCATGCCCGGTAACCACAAGAAATAATAATGTCTTTGTAATGGTAGGGGGGTTGAAGATCCCACAAAAACCTCCCATGAGTGAAAGCATTGGAACCACTTGCTATCCTAATTATACCAATTCCACATTACAGCTCTACCAGTGAAATCGTTTCTAAACTTAACTCCCTCTCCACCTCTTACCTAATTTTGAAAAAGCGAAATTCAGTAGAGTGAGGAAAGCTTTATGAGGAGTGCAAATAGATAGAAAGAGACGGAAGGACTGAAAGATACCTAATATTCATGAAGCACTTGGATATTAAGTATTTATGATACATACTAGATACTACATAGACAAGAGGCACTCAATGTTCAGAATATTCCAACTATAAGTGAGATATAAGAAGCACTGAAATTCATGAGGCCTTAATTTTGTCACTCAGTGGCGACACCCATTCTGGACCCATATGTCTTCTGTCCAAGCTGTTCATTAAGCTACAGCTATGGTCAAGCACACTTAAGAGTGTCATTGGTCCTGGCCATCTTCTGTCTGTAGTTTCCTTTGCTTGAACCTCAACTCTGGTCTGATAAAAATGTCATCAATGAGAAAGGTGATGTGGCTGAGAGACAGACAGAACATAGGACTATTGAAAACACAGGATTCAGGTAGCGTGTGGCCCTCCCAACCCACCTGTAGCCTGTCCTAAGTATATTCACTTACCCATCTCTTTCATGCTGCTTATCCTTGTGTTCTTTAAATAGATTTTAACACACCATGTTATTCAAGCATTTTAACTTCTCTGGGAAGTTTAACTTCTCTGGGAAGTTCTGTTCTGACCTTCAGGGTTGCTTGCATGGTAATTTAGTGTAGACCATCATTGCTCTCAGGAAATGTCCCATTTGATAGCTACTTATGCTATAGTGTAGCTTTCATTAAGGATTTGTAACAAAATACTTATTAGCTTATTTAGGTAATACTTGTCTTCCTTTGTAGACTATAAATACCATGAAGCCATGAAATATTTTTTCAGTGCCTCCTAGAATGCCCAGGACATACCACGCATCCAACAAATATTTGTTGACTACATTAGCAGGCAAACAGAAACTGTTTTTTTGTTTTGTTTTGTTTTTTGTTTTTGAGACGGTGTCTCGCTCTGTCGCCCAGGCTGGAGTGCAGTGGCTCGATCTCGGCTCACTGCAAGCTCCGCCTCCCGGGTTCACGTCATTCTCCTGCCTCAGTCTCCCGAGTAGCTGGGACTACAGGCGCCTGCCACTACGCCCGGCTAATTTTTTGTATTTTTAGTAGAGACGGGGTTTCACCGTGTTAGCCAGGATGGTCTCGATCTCCTGACCTCGTGATCCGCCTGCCTTGGCCTCCCAAAGTGCTGGGATTACAGGCGTGAGCCACCGCGCCCGGCCAGCAAACAGAAACTTATTAATACATATTTTAGACTTAAAAAACAATCGTGAAAATAATACAGAGCCTTCCCAAGAATTCTTCACTTAGCTTATACTAATGTTATCATCTTACACAGTCCAATTGTCAAAACTTAGAAATTAGCATTGGTGCACTGTTAACTATAAACTTGATTCACATGTTACCAAATTTCTATTAATGTTCTTTTTTTCCAGTTCAGAATCCAATCCAGGAAACCACATTGCATTAATTGTTGCATGTCTTCATATTCTTCTAAGGAGCTGGTGACAGTTCCTGAGTATTTTCTTGTCTTTCATAACCTTGACGTTTCGAAGAATGCTTTTCAGATATTTTGTAGACTATCTCTTGATTTGTGTGTGTCTGATGTTTTCCTGTAATTAGACTGAGGGCATACATTTTTGGTGATGTGCCACTTCTAATGTACCATATTTGATGATGTATGATATCAATTTCTTAGTGCTATTTATCGCTCATATGCATCAGAGTTATCTTAAATTACCTAACAGATATTTGCTACATCTGTGTCATATATGTGAATCTGGCTGTGATGATTGTTTTTTGTCTCAGGAGTCCATTGCTTTTTCTAGCCATATGTACTTTAATTTTATTACAAAAGGCAGATAGCTTGGGTAGCTGAGTTGAGACTTAGGTAGACAGATTTGACCCCTAGAATGGTAACACTCTTTCTTCTACTAGGCCTTAGGGCCCAGTTTTGAGTTAATATAATTAGAAATTGAGCTGGGTTTGAAGTTTGTTATTCCTGTGATTACCCTCTGTCTGTCACAGGTATTAAATTATCCAGAGGACACTTTGTGTTTAGTAATTTTTTATTCATTTTTTCAGTGTCTTCTCTACCCTCAGCTTTGGGGTTCTCCTTTGTGCTGCACCTCAGCAAGGGTCTGTCTCTGGCCAGTTACCTGTGAGGGGTTTGCTAGCCTGCTTAAGGGATTGGTGGGCACTGTGGGGAAATTTTCTGTTGTTTGGACCACAGTCTCAGTCCTAAATAAGCACCATATCTATGGGTCTTGAGGACATAGTCTTTTCAGTCTTCCCTCCCTTACAATTCTGAGTCTAGAAACTATTTTAGATCTTCCCCCAGAATTATAGAGACTTTTCCTGGTCATTTCCCCAGCTGCGATAGTTATAAACTGATAACCCCAGCTTCATAGTGTTTACTTTCTCCCTCCAAAGATTCATATTTTTGTTTCATACAGGAAACATAAGTTGCAGTTTCTACCTTAGTTTTCCCCCTCTCTTGAATCAGCTTCTATTTCCTCCTCCAGTTTTGGAACATGAGAGAGAATGTCTGATGACTCTCCTAATCTTTTCTAGGAACATCTTATGGTGTTTGTGGGGAAACAAGAGTCTGCAAGAGGATATATACCCCCAAATATTTGCATCTCCCAGGAACTTCACCCTCTCGCGGAGAATAATCAGCTGGCCTCCCCCAAGTCACCACATCTCTAGGTAAATATTTCTGACCTGCATCTTTACCAGGTAAGCCAAGGCACCTGCCTCTTCTGCCCCTAAAGACACATGACTTCCTTCTAACGCTGGGTTAGTTGGTTGCTCTGAAACCTCAGTATGTTCAAGAGAAGTTGTGAACAAGTGGCTTGCTTGGCTATTTCTTGAAAGTTTGGAAGCAGTGTTCTTTCTACCTTTTTGTATCTGCAGATGGAAACCAAAAGTTTAAATCACTGCCTTTACCCTCCTCAGACATAGATTTAAAGACGTTTTGCAATAGGAAACTTGGGTAGAGCAAGGATGAAACACTAAACTTTAAATTGTGTGGTATAGTAATAAGAACATATGACCTGAAGTCAGAAAACTTTGAGTTCAAATTTTCTTCCACATCACTTTCTTTTTTGAAATCTTGGTCAAATTTGGATCCAGGGTTGTCATTGATTACAAAGATGTACAATGATTACAAAGATGTAAGCTTCACACTGTCATTTCCACTAGTAATTACCAAATAAATGGCCTTTTTGGGGAGCAAGCAAATAATATTTTGGGTGAGTGGATGAATAAGGGAACCTGCCCCTTCCACCCTCAGTTGGAAGACTTCTGCATTTATCAGCTATGTGGTTACGACTTACCAGTAAGCTCCAACTTGAAGAAAGAATGCCTAGGAAAATGAAAACCAGTTGTATGGATGTAAAATATAAAATGTATACTGATTAAATGCTATTTTGTTTTAGATTTTTAAGAGAATTTAGCCTCATGTGGTCTTAACAAGGAAAGGCAAACCTAGGAACTTGAGTTTGTAGTAATGGAAATCTGAACAGAACTTTAAGGTTATCAAAGGAAAATGGAAGAAACAAGATTGAAAGCAAAGTTAGGAAGAGGTTGAAAATAGATGAATAACGTTGGTCTGGTAATTCTGAAGAGGATAGGACTTGGACTGAGAGGAGAAGTTTGAGAGATGCTTCTGCCACTTATATATTGGGTGGCCTTTAGTAAATTAATCTTTTGGAGGTAAGAATTCTCATTTTGAAAAAGTCATTGTAATCAGGTTCTTCTCTTTCATCTACTCTTTCAGCCTCTGTGCTGAATCCACCCATTACCATTTGCTGTTTCTTTGAACACAGATGCTTGTCTACATTTCCTGCCGATGTTCTCATTGCTCTAACTACCCAGAGTCAGGAACTAGATCTTTCTTATCGCTCCAGAATTTAGTACAGTCACACACAGAAGAGCGTAGATACTCAGGAATGTTTTTTAATGCATAAAAGAGGAAAGGAAGAAAGGAAAAATAAAAAGAGGTGTTATATCCATCTATTCATATCCAATGACCTGTCCAGATTCATCGTTAGGGCCACTCACGTGCAAGGTAAATGACACATATGAAACAAAATCTGTGGATAAGGAGCAGAATGATGAGTTGGGGGTAGAGCAAAGCGATAATAAAATAGGAGATTTGCCTTATTTACACAGACTTTAAATACGTGAGTTAAAAAGCCTAAACTTTCAGAGACAGAGAAAACAAATGTGGAAATACAGAAGAGTGTGATGTTGAGGCTGTCCACCCTAGCTGTGCCCTCCAAGTAGGTAATGTTCAGTACCAATCACTCTGCATTGACTTTTCACATAATATCCGTGGTCATAAATGTGGAGACAGTTAGCAGGCTGCTAAACAGCAGTACATTCCAGGCAACAGGTTAGTCAATGCTTTAATTTTTGGCTGCAATAGCATTCCATCAGGGAATTTACTATTAGAATTCTTTGACTTACTGTATTGATAACAAACTGCCCCTAAACCACTAACTCAGACCCCACCAACGTATTAGAGATACTCCAAGAAATATTCCCTTTCATCGTCACTTTAAAAACAAAGATTCTGTACTTATACAAAAATGTCCAGGTAATTTGAGCCAGCATTAAGACCTGCTAAGTCTAGCCTTAACGAACTTTTCCATCTGAAATTTCACCAATCCCTAACTTCTGTTCCATCAAGACACCCCTAACTCTTAATGAGCCATACACAAACTCTCTGTTCTAGAATCCTTCAGTTCTTACACGTATCAGTGAGTTTTACAGTTTCTGTTAACAGAAGGACTATTTTTTGTTGTGTAACTCTTATTGCAAAAGTGTGAAACGTAGATGTGGTAGGATAGCTCTGGAAGAATGGGAGGCATTGGGAGTAGGGTTGAGTTCTACCTTGATGCTGTTTTTACAGCAACTATTTCAAAGCCCATTGGAAAAAGAAAAAAAAATAATAATCAGAAAATCTGTGTCTAATTTTAGATTGAGAAAGCCGTGTGAGTTTCACCAACTGAGCTCACCTATCTCACTTAATTTTTTGAATACGCAAAATGAGGGAAAGGGACAAGGAGATTTCTAAGGTAATTTCTAGTCATAGAATTATTTAGAGTGGATATAATTTATTATATTGGTAATTTCCACGTTTATACATTAAAAATGGGTTTCTGCACCAAATACTTAGGCAAAATGTCTCTAAAAACATTTGTTGAGGCGCATGGGTTCATGTGGCTTAATGTTATAGAAAGAGACTGTTCTATTCATTTAGGGCATTGATTAGTTACTGACTTGACACAAGAAAAAAAAACCCTGTAATTAATAAAGAAATAGCTATTAATTCTACATCCTTAAGTAAAAAGTGCAACCAGATTCCCATTTATGTGTATGTTTTTTCTTTCCTTATTTGACACCATTTGATCAAAATATTTTATTGTTATGCCTCAGACTATTCAGCAGGCTCAAATAAATATTGGATTCCCCAGGTATAAAACGATTTTTACCCTTCAAAGGGACCTTGCCAGGTTCCAGCAACCTGCTCCTTAGGCAAAGGAAATGTCTTTTTCTGCACATAAATTTTGAGTTGATAGAAGCTAAATTGAAATGACATTTTAAAATTTAAAATTAGTTTTAATAAATCCAATATTGACCGTGTACTACTTGGGAGGAACTAATGCTTGAAAGATCAGAGATCAGTCCGTCCTTGGAGACACCTTGCTTTTTCAGTCAAAAAGGATATCTATTTATTTTGGTTTCTCAAATGTGAAATTGAGAATCAGAAATAACAAGTTGGTAAAAATAATATGCTTTTCTTTTTAACTTTTTCAAAGTACTCCTGTATGATGAAATCTAATTCTCAAAATTGTTAAAACTTTTAAAGTGAACTACAGTATAAAGTTAAGTGTACTAATCTTGTGTATGAGTTTTTAAAATGTATAAACATCTATAACGATCACCCTGATGAAAAAACATTAGCACAACAGAAGCTTTCCTTGTAGTTTCTTCTGGTAAACTCCTAACTCTTAAAGGTGATCTCTAATGAGACTTTTAACATCATAAATTAACAATGTCTTTTTGTGTACTTCACATTAAGAGTTATATAGTATGTGTTGCTTTTCATCTGGTTTCTGTTACTCTATATTATGCCCATCCAATATATTTATATTGTTTTGTGTAGCAGAACTTTAAAATTTTTATTGCTGGGTTATAGTCTATTAATTAATAAAGCACTATTTATCCTACCATTGATAAGCAATTGGATTGTTGTTAGTTTGAAATTATTGTGAATAATGCCTCTATCAATGGTCATGTACATAAATTTTTAAAAAATATGAATAGATTCCTTATATGAAGTGAAATTGTGTGTGTTTAATTTTAGTGGTTACTACCAAAAATTTTCCAGAGTTAAGATTGTAATATTGATTTTATAAGCTCACCACCAGTGCCAACAGTAATACTATTATCCTATTATCAGTGCATTTAAAAAATATTTTTAATTTAAATATGTGCATAATTATATCTTCTTTGCTTAGTTTTAATTTCCTTAATGTAAGTTATATGATCATATTTTTGTGTTATTTTATATAACCTATCTCTTGAATATTTAAATTGTTAATTTTATCTTCCTTTCTAAAATTTCCAGAATTTCTTTCGTTTCCTGGAATTCTTTACATTTCCAGAATTTTTTTTTGTATCTTCTGAACATATTAAGCATAGTTATTTTAAAGTTTATTTCTCACAGCTCCAACATTTAGCTCACTATTAGATCTTTTCTCTGTTATTTACCTTGGATTTTTTTAGTCATTTGGTTTGTTTGTTGGCTTGCCTGTTAATCTTTCACTAAATACCAGATATTTTATGCTTTGAGTAATGCTCTTGTACTCCAGAGAGGGTTAAATTTTACTCTGGCAGGTAGATAAATACAAGTAAAACATCGTATTCCAGTGGAGTCTGTATTTCCAGTTACCCCTGGGCTGGCCTATTGTAGGCTGCCCTTATTTCTAGGGTAGAGTTCCCATTCATACTGTGTATTCTGGGGTCTCACTTGAAATTCTTCTTCTCTCCTTTCTTCTCTCCTCCTTTTCCTTCCTTTCCTTCCTTTCCTCCTTCTCTCCCTTCCTCCCTCCTTTCTTTTTTCTTTTTCTCTCTTTTTTTTTTTTTTTTTGTTGTTGAGACGGAGTCTTGTTCTGTTGCCCTGGCTGGAGTGCAATGGTGCGATCTCAGCTTACTGCAACCTTCCGCCTCCTGGGTTGAAGGGATTCTACTGCCTCAGCCTCCCAAGTAGTTGGGATTACAGGCGCCACCACGCCCAGCTAATTTTTCTATTTTGGGTAGAAAAGGGGTTTCACCACGTTGGCCATGCTGGTCTTGAACTCCTGACCTCAGGTAATCTGCCTGCCTCAGCCTCCAAAAGTGCTGGGATGACAGGCATGAGCCACCATGCCCAGCCTGTCTTTCTTTTTACCACCTTGACCCGTCCTGAATTCTAACTTCTTAGTATTGAGGCTGCCAAAATATCTTCTCAGCTTTTTAGCCCTTCGGGTATTGCTTTTTACTTTCTAGGAGTCTTACCTCGCACATAGAAAGTTTAAGGACTGGGCAATGCCTAAAAGGAGAAATCATCTACAACATTTCAGACTCACTTATTTTTGGCATTTGCATCTGGTATTTTGCCCCTAAGTCTTTGTCACCCTGGGAGCCTTCAACTCCAGACTGTGTCTCCCCAGCCCACTTTGAGGTACCCAAGTCTTTAGGTCACCATGGCCTCCATATACCTATAATGTGAACGGCATATTTTTGAAGGCAAAAGCAAGTGAATAGGGGCTCCCCTTGGTATTCTTCCCTTCTCATGCCTGCCCTGGCTATTTTCTTACGCCTCCAAACAGCGACTTAATGTATTTTATTAATCCTTTATCATTTTTCTCACCGGTAGAATTAATCTCTTAATCTTTAGTTTCGTTATCATAATTGAAAGTGAGAGTGCGTTTTTGAAATGTGTGTGGCAAACATTATAGTGCTTATTTGAAACACAGAAGAAATAAATAATGAAGAGAAAGTAACCATTTCCTATGATCACAAAGCAAGACTTTTGTGGACCAGGAATTCGAATTCCAGTTTCAAAACTTCTGATCTCAGCACTTTACATCCTACAGGTTTGAAATAAAGCTGAACTTCCATGGTTCAATTTGTATCAGATTATATGTTAGAGGAAAATTAAAGATCCAACAATCTTAGCTTGTAGCAGAATACAATTTTGAGTGTAACCTTATGAATGCCTACTTAAAGGAAAAATTCTCCTTGAATTAGCAAATACTGATAAAATCCACAATTAGGGAAAAGACATGTATAGAAGAGTGTGGAAATAAAAATTACTTCTAACATCCCTTTCAATGAATTCTAGCACATTTTTCTTGTCCACAAGTGATAGGACAGAAATATTGACATAAATTAATGCATCCATAATATCCAAACCAGTGGCTGAGAAGTGGAGCTTTTAAGTGAAAAGGGCATTCATTTTATGACATGTTGTAATGCTCTATGTGACTTGCATTTACTATCTCATAAGTATTTTGCAATGACACTGTGAGGTAGTTCCAGTGTTCTAGGGAAAAAAAGGAAATGGATGCACAGATATGGTTTCAGGAATTTAACAGGGATAATGAAGAATTCATGACAAATGCCAGAAATGAATCTCAAAATTTTTGTGTCAGTCTCAGCCTCAGACCCTTTTTGCTGTATTTAGAAAAGCTGAATGTATTAGAAATACAGCCGAAGAGTTCTGCCTTGCCCCGTGCCTCTGAATTTGCCCTCAGGCATTTGAAAATACAAAATGAACTGCATAAGGAAAGGTTTCTGAAGTTTAAGATAAAAATGCTGTGGGAAATACCTACTATTTAAAGCATAAGTGGAATGTGCTTCTTGTATGATTTCCATGGCACTCATAGAAACTCATTCCCTCTGCATAGCTGCTTTCTCTCATCAGGAATTTGGGAAGTTCCCAATGGGAATTTCACAGGAGCATAGGGAACATCATTTACATAGCTCTTAATGCAAATGATATCCCTGAAGTTGTTACATTAGCCTTGGGATCAAGCATGGTTCTCTTCCCAATAAAGGCCCCAGCAACTCCCCTCCTTTTAGTTGTCAATGCTTTTCTAAGCATGTAAAATCTTCACAATGTTCAACAACTGTTCATGAGATTTTCTTCCATGCAAAATATTTATGAGATGTTTGAAGGCCTCCAAACTATTAGAATTTCAAATTTTTACAAAATACAGAATTGGAAAGATTGAGTCTCTTCCTTGTGTAATGTACTGTGTTAGAGAAACCCCAAAGCAGTGATGCTTGGTCTTGAATGTGACAGAAAGCAGACCCTGTCCACTCAGTGGGTATTAATCTTATACTACCTAGATTACAAAATATTCACTGTTGACAAAACAATGATGCAGTCGTCATTTCACTTCCCCTCTGATGAACAACCCATTTCAATCTCTTGGCTCTGGATAGGTGTTCTTCTAATTTGCTTTTTAGTGCCATTGCAGGAAATTACTCTCAGAATAGCTCAGCAATGTCAAATAAAGGCTCGAAATATCTGAATTTCTTAAACTCCAGTTGGAACATTCCACTATAGAAATCATAATTGATTTCATCTGCAGATTAAAGAGCCTGGCCAGAAAACAACTCTGCAAAATAAAACAGAATGCTCATATCAGAGCCATATATTTGGTCATTGTAGTCACAGAAACAGATCTTCAAGGATGGCATAGCCCTTCACCTTGTAACTAGACCTCATTTTCCAATAACTGATTTATCTAGAGATAGTAATGTATTTTATTGATTTGAATCATTAAGTTTTGAATTATTATAGCAATTTTTTTTTCACTGAGCCTAGTTATAAACTGTGTATAATTTGGTAAAAATTGAGTTCTCCCTTTCAATAAAAGCTTTCTTTCTTTGTATAGAAAATTGGATTACATTGTACTAGAAGAAAGTTTTAGAGCACTAGGCTAAGCAAGAACTATTTAACACTTTCCTTGAAACATTTGAATGTTCAAAAATTACCATTTCATAGGTTTTCTGATCCTCCAAAAAAGAATGATTCAAATAATTGCTACAGTTTTTTTCCCTTAAGTGTGGCTCACTCGTAGTATGCTATTATTCTGTCACAATAAAAGGTTAAAAAAAGGCAGTGGTAAATTTCTGAAATTAGCCCTCTTATTTTGCTTATGAGTTCAGAAAAGATCAGGATTTTTGAAAGTGCATTTTGTTCAGAAATGAAAATACTTAAGAAAAGGGGTGGGTGGGGGAAGGCATAATGTAGTTAGGATTTTACTAGCAAATGTTTAATTTGGATTGAATAAATATAATTATTTTGTGAGCAACAGATGCACAAATGAGTTTGTGCTTTAATGCCAACTGCTTTAAATCTAATTTTTATATAACTTTTGAGATCTAAATGTCTAGATTTTATCTTATTTTTATTTTGACCAAAATAAACACTACTTGCTGCTATGGGCTGAATATCTGTGTTCCTCTAAAATTGAGGTCTAATCCCCAAAGTGAGGTATTTAGGGGCAGGGTATCTGAGAGGTGATTAAATCATGAGGGTGGAGTCCACATGAATAGGATGAAGCACTGAAAGAATCTGAAGAAACTAGAGCTCTCTCTGTCAGCCATGTGAAGATTCATCAAGAAGGCAACTTTCTTCAGACTTCAAATATGCTGGCTTGGACTTCCCAACTTCTAGAACTATAAGAAATGTATATTTGCTTTTTAAGCCCACACAGTCCATGATATTCTTCTTTACAGCAGCCTGAACTAAGACACCAGATTTAAAAACTTGAAAATTGGTGACACAGTGGACTCAAAATAGCAAATGGGATCCTGCTAGACATAATATTTTTTGTTGGAAGCTGATCAAAAACAGATTATTTCATATCTGGGGATATGAAATATAACAGGGAGTAATTTAATGTTTAGTGAGATAGACAGTGGAAATCAACCTCCTTTTAAACAAAATCATCTAAATCTGTGTTTCAAGGGGTCATCATTGCTTTGAAAGTCCAACATTCTTGAGAAGAAAATAATAACAGCCACCAAGGTACTATGTAGCTTATTGCAGAATTCAGATATGAATTGGAATTGCTCTGAAACATATTGGCATGTTTTCATATATGAAGACAAGTATTTCTTAAAGTGTAGAAAGTATTTATAGAAATGTTTGAGGGCATAGTCATGGCAAAAGAAAATTTCACTCTAACTTCAAATATAGCCCAGCTTAACATGAAGAGAGCTATCCTCTGATGAATGGCCATTTGTATGTACTTCGCAACTTTTTAAAATATTTTATAAATACAGTAGTCTGGTAGCCTCTTTCATGGGTACACAAACTTTTTTTATTTATTGTGAAATACCATGCCTAGTGGTGTCTAACTAGTGGGATGCAGTCACAACCATGAGCTCTGTATTTGTGTTTTTACATTTTGTCTAACCCTTTGGGGTTTCTTTATTAATTTAGACCCCATAACTCAATTTCCTCCTTACTAACATTCTCTCAATACGTTTGCATTTAATTTCAATCACGAAAATATTTTCTTGTGTGTGAACATTCTAGCCAGAGGTTTCTTAAGTCTTCATATTTTCAATGAGTCCTATAGAGCATGATTTATTTTTATTTATTTATTTATTTATTTATTTATTTATTTATTTATTTATAATTATTTGAGATGGAATCTCGCTCTGTTTCCCAGGCTGGAGTGCAGTGGCTCGATCTCAGCTCATTGCAAGCTCCGCCTCCCGGGTTCACGCCGTTCTCCTGCCTCAGCCTCCGGAGTAGCTGGGACTACAGGCGCCCGCCACCACGCCCGGCTAATTTTTTGCATTTTTAGTAGAGACGGAGTTTCACTATGTTAGCTAGGCTGGTCTCGATCTCCTGGCCTCGTGATTCACCCACCTCAGCCTCCCAAAGTGCTGGGATTACAGGCGTGAGCCACTGCGCCCGGCCGATATATATACATATGTGTGTGTGTGTGTGTGTGTGTGTGTGTATATATATATATATATATATATATTTTTTTTTTTTTTTTTGTCCCATGATTTACCAAGCTAGTGCTGAATGGTCCGGGCTGGGAATAAAATACTGCTTTCTGTCCTCCACATAAAGGTGGAAATTTATTCAAAATCTTTCTTCAAGATGTGTTTTATCACCTCTACTAAACTGTAAACTAGGTACAGTGTATCCTGGTATCTTACTGTTTCTTCTTGGGAGCTAGTGAGAGAACTATGCCTATTTATTAAACATTTAAAAAACAGCCAACATAAGATTAATGGAGATATCATTAAATATTAATCTCTTTAACCCTTTAGCTAATACTTCACATAAAAAAATTGTATTATATATTCCGTATATTCAGGTTTCATGGTATTTAAATTCATGATCACACTGTCTCATGTTAGGATTTCCCCTGTTGTTTCAAGTTCTGGACCTTCCAAAATACATGAGTTTATCAAGATCATGTTAATTTAGATGTTATGGCCAAATTTTGGTGGTTTGGGTTGCCCAACTGTGCAAATGTCAGAATAGGGATAGTCTCTTATCTTTGTTCTGCCTAATGCCTACAATAAGGTATTTACTCATTTAGTTTTTCTTTACCTACTGTGCTCTGTGCCTTCTTCCTTCCTTTTTTCCCACCAGTAATTACTTTAAAGGTTTATTGTGCACTGAGGACAGAACATCCAAAAATGGTTTAAGCAGAGGCCAGACTTTCCAGAAGCTCAGGAGGTAATGAGGGGCTCCAACTCTGGAGTCAAATCTGTCTGTGGTGGAGTGGTTTAAAGGAAGATGTGCTACCTGACTTACTAGGGAATTTGGGAAAGATTCCGTTAAAAGATGCCACTGAAAACAGGTCTTGAAAGGTGAATAAATTTGCTTAGGATGGAGAATGTATGGAAGGTCTTCCAGGTGGGAGCACAACAATTACAAAGCAGCAGAAGCATGAAAGAACACAGGACGCTAGGAGAAATAAGCCACAGCTGATGTGCGGGCTGGCGTGACCTTGTTCTCTGATCACAGAGGAGGAGTGGAAGGGAGATGACACAGAGGGGGTTGCCAGCATGGGACATATTAATAGAAGTTTCCTTTTCACATTCTACTCTGAAACCAGTTGATTGATAACTATTTTTCCTATAAATTGCTCCAGGATCATAAAAAGTGAGCTGAGATTATGAAGCAAATAATTTTCAGAACAGGAATAACACAACCACAAAACATACTTTCAGGACTGACATGCCATTCTTCATTTAAAAAGCAATCCTCTAAAATAAATTCCTTAAAAGCAATTACTTTAAAAAAGATAGAATATAGGTACATGTGACGCTTTAGCTTAGAATGCATGGCTCTCTATTCCATCCACACATTGAGTAGAACCAGCTAATCAAATCTGTTTTGCCCAGTGAACATTCTTTTTTTAAAAAATGGTATCCTTTCTCTTGATATATGGGTTTCCTTTGTTGTTAGTGGTGGTTCCTTGTCAAGATATATCATTAGAAAAGTTTTGTTCTTGTCAGTCTAATCCCCTTGGAATATCAAACAACCCATGGAAATCGTATACCCATTAGAATTAAAGGCTAAGCATCATTAATAGGTTGCATGGACAGGTGTATTTCCTATTTTCTTCCACTCTTGGCTGTGGTATCTAATTAGACAGCAACATTTGTGCTCTGAGAAGAGCTTCAGGATGGTACTCATTGAGATAAGAGCCTTATGGTGCTGGAAATTCCTGTTGCTACAGTGAATAAAATAAAATTAGAAATGTTATAGTGATCATATGCATGTACACTTCTCTTCAGGAAGATTTAGATCAGTTTTTCTCATGCTTAAGTAGTACATGATATCTTCTAAGGGAGAAATATATCTGTATGTGTATGTGTGCCTAAGTACATATGTATATGTTTATAAAATTCAAACTTGAGAACAAATATGTAAAACCTAAGTTGAGAACACTTCATTAAAAGGCAAATTCTGACCTCTCTTTCTGGCCACAATAGGATAACAGACACAAAACAGCTAACACTGGACAATACATGTATTACAATCATTTTTAGGCTTTGGGCATTGAGAAATGCAGGACAATGACACTTTTGACAGAGGATATCAGTGAGGTGAGCCCACGATTTCCCAGTTTATTACCTAGGGGGAGTTTGCAAACTAAATGATAAGTATTAGGATTCCAGGTGGAGGTCAGAGGTAGCTCTTGTTTAAAGATGGTACTAGATTGCCTTTGTAGGACTAACATTACCCACAAGATTGGAAATTATGGTTTAGGAGTCATGCAGCTGGATGCTTCAAGATTCTGACCCTCCCTGAACTGCTCCTAAGATCATTACTTGAGATATTTTGCAGACTCTGCACTTGATGGATTAGCTGGCACCACCCAGATCAATAAACTGGGTCATCTGATCTTGTGGCCCCCACCCAGGAACTGACTCAGCACGAGAAGACAGCTCTGACTCCCTATGATTTCATCTCTGACCAATCAGCACTCCCGGCTCACTAGCTTCCCCCCAACCACCAAGTTATCCTTAAAAACTCTGCTCCCCAAATGCTTGGAGAGACTGATTTGAGTAATAATAAAACTCCAGTCTCCCTGAGGAAGGAGGGAAGGAAGGAAGGGAGGGAGGGAGGGAGGGAGGGAAGGAAGGAAAAAGGAAAGGAAAGGAAAGAAGATGGAGCAGAGAATCTAAAGTGAGGCACAGCAGGTAGAGATTACAGCAGTGTAAGAGAAGAGAGATCTGCAGAGGATAACCCTGGCATCTTTACCTGAGTACTGATCAGTGCATGCAGGTAAGACAATCACTAAAGCTGAGAAAAGACCCACTCCAAAAAGTTTAGAGGGAATGATTTCTTCTTTCTTCTTTCTTCTTTCTTCTTTCTTCTTCTTCTTCTTTCTTCTTCTTCTTCATTATTATTATTATTATTATTATTATTATTATTGAGGTGAAATTCCCACAACATAAAATTCACCATTTAGAGTGACTAATTCAGTGGCATTTACCACTTTCACAGTGTTGCACAATCACCACCCCTATTTGGTTCCAAAATATTTTTATTCCCCTCCATAAAAAACCTCGTACCCATTAAACTGTTACTTCCCATTCTGCCTTTCCCACCCCCAACTCCTGGCAACTACCAGTATGCTTTCTGTTCCCACAGATTTTCCTATTCTAGCTATTTCACATAAATGGAATCTAATAATATGTGGCCTTTTGTGTCTGACTTCTTTCACTTACCATAATGTTTTTAAGGTTCATTCACATTGTAGCTTGTATCAGTACTTCATTCCTTTTTGTGGCTGAATTATATTCTACTGTATGTATATACCAACTTTTATCTGTTCATCTGGGGATGAATACATGGGCTGTTTCCATCTTCTGGCTATTGTGAATAATGCTATTATCAATGTGTGTATACATGCACTTGTTTAAGTACCTCGTCTCAATTATTTTTGGCTATAATTGCTGGGTCATATGGTAATTCTATGGTATTCTTTTTTTTTTTTTTTTTTTTTTTTTGAGACAGTCTTGCTCTGTCGCCCAGGCTGGAGTGCAGTGGCACGATTTCGGCTCACTGCAAGCTCTGCCTCCCGGGTTCACACCATTCTCCTGCCTCAGCCTCCCAAGTAGCTGGGACTACAGGCGCCCGCCACCACGCCTGGCTAATTTTTGTATTTTTAGTAGAGACGGGGTTTCACCATGTTTGCCAGGATTCTCTCGATCTCCTGACCTTGTGATCCACCTGCCTTGGCCTCCCAAAGTGCTGGGATTACAGGCGTGAGCCACTGTGCTGGCCTTTTCATTTTTTTTTTTTTTTTTTAAGAGACAAGGTCTCACTGTCACTCATGCTGGAGTGCAGAGGTGCAATCATTAACTCACTGTAACCTCTGACTCCTGGGCTCAAGCAATCCTCCCACTTCAGCCTTCAGAGTAGCTTGGACTGCAAGTACATGCCACCACACCCAGCTAATTTTTAAAAATTGTTTTGTAGAGACAGGGTCTCACTGTGTTTCTCAGTCTGGTCTCAAACTCCTGGCCTCAAGCAATCCTCCCACCTCGGCCTCCCAAAACATTGGGATTACAGGCATCAGCCACCATGCCTGACCTATGTTTTACCTTTTGAGGGCTGCAAAATGTTTTCTACAATGGCTGAACAATTTTACATTCCTACCAGTAAGGTACTAGTGTGTGAATTTCTCCACATCCTTGCCAGCAGTCTTCCCTCCCTCCTTCCTTCCTTCCTTCCTTCCTTCCTTCCTTCCTTCCTTCCTTCCCTCCTTCCCTCCCTCCCTCCCTCCTTCCTTTTCCCCCTGCCTCCCTCCCCTCCCTACCTCCCTCCCCTCTTTCAGTCTGTGGCTCTCTCTTGCACATGTGCGCTCTCTGTCTCTTTCTTGTCTTTTTCTTTTCTTTTCTTTTTTTTTTTTTGAGATGGAGTCTCACTCTGTCAGCAGTTGGAGTGCAGTGGCGTGATCTTGGCTCACTGCAACTTCTGCCTCCCGGATTCAAGCAGTTCTCTGCTTTAGCCTCCCAAGTAGCTGGGACTATAGGCTGCACACCACCATGCCCAGCTAATTTTTGTATTTTTGGTAGGGCAGGGTTTCACCGTTTGGTCAGGATGATCTTGGTCTCTTGACCTCGTGATTGGCCCGCCTCGGCCTCCCAAAGTGCTGGGTCTGTCTCTTTCTTTATGGCCATCCAAAGGGTATAAAATGATCCCTCTTGTGGTTTTGACTTACATTTCCTTAATGACTAATAATGTTGAGCAAGTTTTTTGTGTGCCTATTGACTATTTGCATACCTTATTTGAAGAAAATGTTTATTCATGTACTTTGCCTATTATTGATTTGGGAGTATTTTTGTTTTTTAATTGTAAACATTATTTATATATTCTAGGTACTAGATCCTTATCAGATGTATGATTTGCAAATATTCTTTACCACTCTATAGGTTATCTTTTTATATTATGCACAAATGTTTTTAATTTTGATGAAGTACAACTCACCTATTTTTTGTTTTGTTACTCATGCTTTTAGTGTCCTACGATTCCATTGTCAAACCCAAGGTAATAAACATTTATCCCTATGTCTTCTTCTAAGAGTTTTATGGTTTTAGTTCTTACATTTATATCCCTGATCTATTTTGAGTTAAATTTTGTAGGAGAAATAATTATTAGCACTATACAAGGGAAGAAAATGTCTTTTTCCAGTGATCAGAGTAGAAAATCTCATAACTGGTAGGGTATAATTACTTTGAAGTATATTCAGTGTAGATAAAGTTAGCCTTAGACAAAAGGCTATTTGTATCCTGCTTAAGAGAGGTTAAAGGAAGCTTTGGAAGAATTAAGCTGTTTCCAGGTAATTAAACTGCGTCATAGAACAATGGACAGGTATATTTAAGGAAATAAAAAGCATCAAAAACCCAACAAACTAAACTTCTCAAAATCAAATCAGTAATGTAAAGAAGCAGGAAAATTTGACCTACAATGAAGAGAAAAGTCAATTGATATAAAGAAAATTACTGAATTACTAGGCAAATACATTAAAATAATTTGTTTTAATAATTGTATTCCACATGTTCAAGAAGTAGAATACAGAAGTGGTTCAATAAATAAATGTTATAAAAATACTCAAATCAAACTTTTAGAAATGAAAAACTTTCATGCCTGAGATGAAGACACTGAATGGAACTGTTAGAAGATTTGACAATGTAAAAGAAAAGATTAGTGAACTTGAAGAAACAGCAATTGAAAGTACCCGAAATGAAACACAAATGGAAAAAAGCCCTAAAATGTATGGATCATGCTTTTTCGGTTATACCTAAACCTCTCCTTAATAAGGTAACAAAGGTTTTTCTCTTATGTTTAATTCTTGAAGTGTTAGAATTTTTGGTTTGACTTGTAAGTCTATTCTTAACTTTAAGTAACTTTTTGTATGTCATGTGAAATAGAAACATATTTTTTTTATAACATGTTTTTTTGTTTTCTTACTTAGGGCACTATTCACTGAAAAGACCATCTTTTCTCTTTCCATTTGCCTTGCTATCTTTATTTTATTGATAATCAATTATTCATCTATGATTCAGTCTGTTTTATTGATTTACTTGGAATTTTATTAAAAAGCTACACTTAGAGCTTTATAGTAAGGTAGTCTGGGTCTTCAGGTAATATACTTTTTTAAATTTATTGTTCTAAACTTTAGCTACTGTAATTTTTTTATATAAATTTTAAAATAAGCTTGGCTATTTCTACGCAAATCTTGGTAAAATTTTGGTGAAATTTTGATGGAAGTTGCACTGAATCTATAGATCAATTTTGGGGAAAACATGTAACAATGCTGAGTCTTCCAAACTGTGAACATCATATAGCTCACAATGTATGCAGATTTTTTTTCTTTCATCAATGTTTTGTTGCCCTCACTGTATATATCTTGCACAAGTCTTATAAGAATTATACCAAAGTTTGTTTGGTTATAGTGCAACAATAAATGGATCTTTTCAAATTACAACTTTAAATTTTTCATTACTAGTGACAGAGATTCTTTCCTTGACCATACTCTACTCAGGCTCCCCTGTACTCTCATCTCAACTAGCCTCTAACATTTGAGCTTCTGTATTTGTCTTTTTGTTGTCCAAATTTAGCAAGAATCCTACTGAGTTAGTCAGTTTCCCCATCCTCAATATCTCATCATGCTTGGTATCCAGTTCCTCATCTGCCACCATCTCCGAGGTGGATGTCTGCTGATCACCCTGTCCTGTTGCAGCAATGATTGATCTAATAAGAATCCCTTGTGCCCTGATATTTCCTCTTAATAATTTTCCACCTTGCTTCTTGACTATACATTTTCACTTTTCTCTGTTGTATTTAGAGTTGAGCAGAATCTCTTTCCTCTACTGCAAAACCCCATTGCAGTACTCCCTGTACCCATCCTGATGGTTCTGAACAAAGTCGGCTTTACCATTCTTCAACAAGTGTGATGAGTAATTTTTTTAACACTAGTATATAGAAATACAGTTAATTGATTGTATATATTGACCTTGTATACTGTAATGTCCCTGAATTCATATATTAGTTTCTATAACTTTGGTAAACTATTTAGGGTTTTCCAAATCAATGATCAAGTTGTTTGCAAATAACAAAAATTTTACTTCTTTTTTCCCAAACTGGATAACTTTTATTTTTTTCCTTGTCTGATTGTCTTAGCTAGATCCTTTGTACAAAGTTGCCTTGTTACACATTATTAGGAAGAAGTATTCAGTCTTTTTTCTTTAAGTATGATGTTAACTGTAGCTTGTGTGTAAATGCCTTTATATCAAGTTGAGGAAGTGCCTTTCTGTTGCTACTTTTTGACAATTTTGTCATGAATAAATGTTGAATCTTATGAAAAGCTTTCCCTGTACCTTTTGAGATCACCATATAGTTTGTTTTTAGCTTGTTAATATTGTGAATTGTAGTGATCCATTCTCAAATGTTGACCCCATTTTGCATTTCTGGGATAAAAACTATAGTATTATTTTTAGATTGTCATAACAAGATTAAAAATTTATTTAACTCACAGACTATGAAGACCATATCCACACAGCTCTAATTTAGAAATAGTATTTTAGGCCTGGCACGTTGGCTCACATCTGTAATCCCAGCACTTTGGGAGGCCAAGGTGGGCAGATCATGAGGTCAGGAGTTCAAGACCAGTCTGATCAACATGGTAAAACCCCATCTCTACTAAAAATACAAAAATTATCCGGGCATGGTGGTGCATGCCTGTAATCCCAGCTACTCAGGAGGCTGAGGCAGGAGAATCCCTTGAACCTGGGGGGCGAAGGTTGCAGTGAGCCGAGATCACACCACTGCACTCCAGCCTGGGCTGCACAGTGAGATTTTTGTCTCAAAAAAAAATAGTATTTTAGATATTATAATTTTTAACTGTATATTCAACTGATATGAAATTAATTAGCCAATATAGAAGTATTGTTTTTACCTTTAAAATAAGACTTATGAAGATTGTTTCAGGCATCAATGGAAAAATAAAATAATGTGGTTGTAAAAATGTTCAAAAAAGAAGAATTATGATTTCACTTCAGTGGTAGAAATGGAAGCAATGAGAATTTAAGGACAGAAGGATTTTTTTTTTTTTTTTTTTTTTTTTTTTTTTTTTTTTTGAGATGGAGTCTCACTCTGTCGCCCAGGCTGGAGTGCAGTGGCATAATATCGGCTAACTGAAGCCTCCTCCTCCCAGGTTCCAGAGATTGTCCTGCTTCAGGCTCCTGGGTAGCTGGGATTATAGGCACACACCACCATGTCCTGCTAATTTTTGTATTTTTAGTAGAGAGAGGAGTTCACAATGTTGGCCAGGCTGGTCTTGAACTCCTGACTTCAGGTAATCCACCTGCCTTGGCCTCCCAAAGTGCTAGGACTACAGTCATGGGCCACTGTGTCCAGCTAAGGACAGAAGGATATCATTGATGAATATAATTGATAGCCGGGAGATACATGACTGAGATAGCCCATAAGAAAGGTATTTGTATATTACAGGGGTAGGGTGGGCCTTCTTTGACAAAAGAAAGTATGAAAATCAAAGGATAATTATGTTTTCAATAATGAAAATTCTAGATTTTCTACAGTTGAACCAGCTAAAATATACTAAATTTTACTATATATCAAATACTGAAGATAGACATATCATTTTTAAAAATCTGCTAATATTAAATATTTATTTTAAGTATCTTAAGAGATATTTAATGGTTAAGTAATTTTCCAGGTCACATCGCTAATAAATGTTGTGGCTAGAATTTAAACTCAAAACTCTTTACTTCCAAAGTATATACTATGAACTGTCAACCAAAAACTCAACAAACTGAGTTTAATAATTGTAATTGTCTTTAATTAGCGATTCATGAATTAAACAGCATCCTATCTAAAAAACAGAAAGGTACTCTGCTGTGTGTGGCAGAACAGTTGGTTTTTGTAAGGTAAGCTGAGTAGGAACAAGGGAATAGCAGAGTGCAAAAGGTGGATTGGTCAACATCAGGTTACCTTCCTTATAGGGTTAAAACAGTGGGAACTTTCTTAACGTGTAGACTCAGATCAACTGAACCCCTTATGATTGGTTACTGCAAATTTCTTGTTTTTAGGAAAATTGTCCTGTTTCTAAGTTCAGCTTGATTACATGGCATCTAACACAATTGACTCTATAATGTATCAGTTTGTTCTATGGGATCCTAGTGCAGGATCTCAGTCCAAAACAATGGCCTCTCAGTTTTTTTAAGCATAATCACAATCAAAGACTTGAACAATGAGAAATAAAATGGAAAGGTTGAGGTTACAGGGGGAAAACTCTTGTAACCTAGTCAATAGATAAGTATCTATAAGAATTTGAGCTTGATGGTCATTTGAATACTACAATGAAAAAAAACCACAACTGTGGAATTTATGGGAATCTCATATATACTTGCATAAATGGAGATCCCAAAAGAAGAAACAAACTTTAAATGAGGAAAGGTACAATAAAGTAGGATATTTGCTCCCAAGTAATTTCTATTCATCTACCCTCAAAGATATATTACCTTGGGTTGTTTCTAAAATATAATTGAGAATGAACTTTTGTTTCAGCAGATTTAAATAAAACATTATAAGAATGACTTTTAAAACATGTGGATAAGGAAGATTCATTTGCCCAGATCAGTGGTCCTCAAACTTAAGTATGTTTCAGAATCACCTGAAGGTTGTTGAAAGAGATCACTGGGTCCTGTCACAGTGTTTCTGATTCAGTAGGTTGGCTGTGGTGCATAAAAATTGACCACATAGTTGGAAGTAAAGCACTCCTCAGCAAATGTAAAAGAACAGAAATTATAAACTCTCAGACCACAGTGCAATCAAACTAGAACTCAGGATTAAGAAACTCACTCAAAACCGCTCAACTACATGGAAACTGAACAACCTGCTCCTGAATGACTACTGGGTAAATAATGAAATGAAGGCAGAAATAAAGATGTTCTTTGAAACCAACGAGAAGAAAGACACAACATACCAGAATCTCTGGGACACATTCAAAGCAGTGTGTAGAGGGAAATTTATAGCACTAAATGCCCACAAGAGAAAGCAGGAAAGATCCAAAATTGACACCCTAACATCACAATTAAAAGAACTAGAAAAGCAAGAGCAAACACATTCAAAAGCTAGCAGAAGGCAAGAAATAACCAAGATCAGAGCAGAACTGAAGGAAATAGAGACACAAAAAACCCTTCAAAAAATTAATGAATCCAGGAGCTGGTTTTTTGAAAAGATCAACAAAATTGATAGACCACTAGCAAGACTAATAAAGAAGAAAAGAGAGAAGAATCAAATAGATGCAATAAAAAATGATAAAGGGGATATCACCACCGATCCCACAGAAATACAAACTACCATCAGAGAATACTACAAACACCTCTACGCAAATAAACTAGAAAATCTAGAAGAAATGGATAAATTCCTTGACACATACATCCTTCCAAGACTAAACCAGAAAGAAGTTGAATCTCTGAATAGACCAATAACAGGCTCTGAAATTGAGGCAATAATCAATAGCTTACCAACCAAAAAAACTCCAGGACGGGACAGATTCACAGCCGAATTCTACCAGAGGTACAAAGAGGAGCTGGTACCATTCCTTCTGAAACTATTCCAGTCAATAGAAAAAGAGGGAATCCTCCCTAACTCATTTTATGAGGCCAGCATCATCCTGATACCAAAGCCTGGCAGAGACACCACCAAAAGAGAGAATTTTAGACCAATAGCCTTGATGAACACTGATGCAAAAATCCTCAATAAAATACTGGCAAACCGAATCCAGCAGCACATCAAAAAGCTTATCCACCATGATCAAGTGGGCTTCATCCCTGGGATGCAAGGCTGGTTCAACATACACAAATCAATAAATGTAATCCAGCATATAAACAGAACCACAGACAAAAACCACATGATTATCTCAATAGATGCAGAAAAGGCCTTTGACAAAATTCAACAACACTTCATGCTAAAAACTCTCAATAAATTGGGTATTGATGGGACATATCTCAAAATAATAAGAGCTATCTATGACAAACCCACAGCCAATATCATACTGAATAGGCAAAAACTGGAAGCATTCTCTTTGATAACAGGCACAAGACAGGGATGCCCTCTCTCACCACTCCTATTCAGCATAGTGTTGGAAGTTCTGGCCAGGGCAATTAGGCAGGAGAAGGAAATAAAGGGTATTCAATTAGGAAAAGAGGAAGTCAAATTGTCCCTGTTTGCAGATGACATGATTGTATATCTAGAAAACCCCATTGTCTCAGCCCAAAATCTCCTCAAGCTGATAAGCAACTTCAGCAAAGTCTCAGGATACAAAATCAATGTACAAAAATCACAAGCATTCTTATACACCAATAACAGACAAACAGAGAGCCAAATCATGAGTGAACTCCCATTCACAATTGCTTCAAAGAGAATAAAATACCTAGGAATCCAACTTACAAGAGATGTGAAGGACCTCTTCAAGGAGAACTACAAACCACTGCTCAATGAAATAAAAGAGGATACAAACAAATGGAAGAATATTCCATGCTCATGGATAGGAAGAATCAATATCATGAAAATGGCCATACTGCCCAAGGTAATTTATAGATTCAATGCCATCCCCATCAAGCTACCAATGACTTTCTTCACAGAATTGGAAAAAACTACTTTAAAGTTCATCTGGAACCAAAAAAGAGCCTGCATCGCCAAGTCAATCCTAAGCCGAAAGAACAAAGCTGGAGGCATCATGCTACCTGACTTCAAACTATATTACAAGGCTACAGTAACCAAAACAGCATGGTACTGGTACCAAAACAGATATATAGACCAAAGGAACAGAACAGAGCCCTCAGAAATAATGCCACATATCTACAACTGTCTGATCTTTGACAAACCTGACAAAAACAAGCAATGGGGAAAAGATTCCCTATTTAATAAATGGAGCTGGGAAAACTGGCTAGCCATATGTAGAAAGCTGAAACTGGATCCCTTCCTTACACCTTATACAAAAATTAATTCAAGATGAATTTAACACGTAAATATTAGACCTAAAACCATAAAAACCTTAGAAGAAAACCTAGGCAATACTATTCAGGACATAGACATGGGCAAGGACTTCATGTCTAAAACACCAAAAGCAATGGCAACAAAAGCCACAATTGACAAATGGGATCTAATTAAACTAAAGAGCTTCTGCACAGCAAAAGAAACTACCATCAGAGTGAACAGGCAACCTACAGAATGGGAGAAAGTTTTCGCAACCTACTCATCTGACAAAGGGCTAATATCCAGACTCTACAATGAACTCAAACGAATTTACAAGAAAAAAACAAACCCATCAACAAGTGGGCAAAAGATATGAACAGACACTTCTGAAAAGAAGACATTTATGCAGCCAAAAGACACATGAAAAAATGCTCATCATCACTGGCCATCAGAGCAATGCAAATCAAAACCACAATGAGATACCATCTCACAGGAGTTAGAATGGCAATCATTTAAAAGTCAGGAAACAACAGGTGGTGGAGAGGATGTGGAGAAATAGGAACACTTTTACACTGTTGGTGGGACTGTAAACTAGTTCAACCATTGTGGAAGTCAGTGTGGCTATTCCTAAGGGATCTAGAACTAGAAATACCATTTGACCCAGCCATCCCATTACTGGGTATATACCCAAAGGATTATAAATCATGCTGCTATAAAGACACATGCACTTCTATGTTTATAGCGGCACTATTCACAGTAGCAAAGACTTGAAACCATCCTAAATGTCCAACAACGATAGACTGGGTTAAGAAAATGTGGTACACATACACCATGGAATACTATGCAGCCACAAAAAAGGATGAGTTCATGTCCTTTGTGGGGACATGGATGAAGCTGGAAACCATCATTCTCAGCAAACTATCGCAAGGACAAAAAACCAAACACCCCATGTTCTCACTCATAGGTGGGAATTGAACAATGAGAACACATGGACACAGGAAGGGGAACATCACACACCGGGGCCTGTTGTGGGGTGGGGGGAGGAGGGAGGGATAGCATTAGGAGATATACCTAATGCTAAATGATGAGTTAATGGGTGCAGCACACCAACATGGCACATGTATACATATGTAACAAACCTGTACGTTGTGCACACGTACCCTAAAACTTAAAGTATCATAATAATAAAATTAAAAAAAAAGAAAATGATAAATATTTACAGTATGTAATGAAATTTCATCTCAAAAACTGATGGTATTTATTGTGTTTTAATAAAAGCAGACTTGAAAACATTAGTTTTATTAAACAACAACAAAAAGGAATGTGCATTTTATCAGGGTCCCAGATGCTGCTGCTGCTGCTGCTGCTGCCGCTGCCGCTGCCGCTGCCGCTGCCGCTGCTGCTGCTCCTGAAATCAGCCTTGACAACCATTGGCCTACCCTAGTACATTTCAATTCCACTCTTTCCTCAAGAGCTAAAAATCCAGTGACCTGACTTTTAGTTACAGTGGTCTGATTACTTGTTTGGTTATGGCAGAAGTGGTTAATTTCCTAGGTCTCATTTCCCTCAGTATCTCAACTGTGAGTATTGAACTAAATGACCTTTAACATTCCCTCCCTCTTGAGAGTTCCATATTTTTTTCTTTTTTTCTCTTTTTATTTCAAATGTCTAAATCTCTTGTTGCTGCTTGCTCTCTCATGATTTGAGGCCAATTAATTTAATCATTAATATATAAAATACTTACTGAGGTCTACCTTGTCCTGGACATTAGGTTGTAAGATGAAGAATGTGTCCCTGCTTTCTAGGAGCTGTATCTTATGTAACAAGTCCCCAAACTTACCATGCATCACCATAGCTTTGTTAAAATTAAAGACAGCTGGGTCTTCCCCTAAGATTCCTATGTACTAGGTTTAAGTAGAGTCCTGATGCCTATCACTTTAACTAATCTCAGATGCAAATGCTAAGCAGCCAGTTTTAGGGATTAGTGGCTTTGTGGAGGAGATGAGCACGAAGAAAGAAGACAGTATAAGGTAAGGGAACCAAGAAAAATCGACTGAACGATTATAATCTCAGCCCAATTACTCTTTGTTGACTGTGGAATCCTGACGAAATGTGTGTTAGCCAGATGTTAGTGATCATGCAAAACACTGAAAGTGGTCAGTGTACAGTACAAATTGGGGACCTGGTTTTGGGCCATGACTCGGCCACTAGCTTTTCCTAGAATCCTGGAT
>NT_187530.1:0-110395 GCF_000001405.40 Homo sapiens
GATCACACCAGCCTCCTAGTCAGTTCTGATGAGAGAATCTGGATACCTTAGTTGCTGGTGAAGGATTCACATGCTTATTATTATTCACATGCTTATTGTTATTATTCACAAGCTTATTATTATGGTTCTTTTCAATGAGAGCCTCCAAACACTGCTCTTTCTAGATGGCTATCTTGGCCCCACCCCACCAAACATAGGTCTTTAATACCTAATTAAGGTCCAGGAGAAAATCATTATCTCCTTGGGTAAATAATAATACAGTCTATTTTAAAATTAAATAAAAATATTCAGTAGCCTGTGCCCAGAGTGAATGGAATAACTGCTATGGGAAGATGGATAAGGGTGAGTCAGGTCAGTTTCAAGGTCTTCATTGAAGAAGAATAGCAGCAACTGAGCATTGGCATCTCAGCCTCCCTGAGCACAGGAAAGGAAATAGCTGTACTGCTGGGTTTGTTCAAAAATTATAAGATATTGAAATTAGTATCTCCTGTTTTGACAAATTCTAAAAGACAGCAATCATTTCTCTTGCTCTCAACATTTTCTGTAAGTTGTCCAATGTGATTCACCTGAGGCCCAGCATATGTCATTCCACAAGACAGATTGCAGACGCAGTGGCCACAGGCACTGGGCATTGATGCACCAAGTCAGTTCCACATGAGAAGATGCCAGCTCTCTTTCCAGTGAGCCAGTCTTGGAATCAGAGGCTGAAATTAGAGTTTGAAGTTGATCTTGGAGTCATTAAACCTTCTACTTACACTGGTGGGAGTTAAAGGATTTCTATTAAACTGATTTTACAGACATTTTATTAAATCATTTGACCAGTTTAAGAAGTATGTTCTGCATTACACAATTCCTACTCTAGTGGAAAACCTGCCTTCAAAAGACTGACAAAGGAAACTAACCCCTTGTCACAAGACATGTCACCAATTGAAAACATACTGCTGCTGGGATTTGCTGGCTGTTGGGATAGTTTATTGTGGAATAAAATGAGATTAAGATATACATTTCACATATGACAATAATAAAGCTTACCAGTTGGCTTTGCATGAATAGAATAAGTGCCTGTCTGGTTTGCATGATGTGAATTGTACTTGTTGACTTACTTTTCCAAATCCTCATTACCCCTTCCCCAGTGGTATTGTCTGAAAGCCTAAAATGATCATCATGCACATTATTGTTTAATAGTTTCATAATTTACTTGATCATATCTTACTGTGCATGGCATATCTTTGCCATAATTGGGCATGAACAGCCTACCTATGTTAGCATGAAAATCAAAAAGGGCCCAAAGTCAGTGGCATTTATTCAGCAGTGTGTGATCCACATAAAAGATAAGAATTTGTAGGGTGGAGTTTGTCCTCTCAGTTAGTAATGCAGTTGGAAGAAGCACTCATGTAAAAATGGTATACAACACAGAAATACATAAGGTTATAGGCATTTGCATATATATCTCTAGAATCCATGAGTTAACTCAACTGGAACCACCAGTGGTAACAACTGGAATGATCTCGGTTGCCAAACTGGTAATGAGAGACCAAATTAATTATAAGGGGACAAACTACTGGAGAGATAGCTTCCTTTATGCAAACTATTTATGAAGATGAATGTTTAGAAGAGTGATATTTGCTTTATGAATTTTGTTACCTATCTCCTTTGCAATATTTATTTTTTTATAAAAATGACAGCAGAGCAAAACAAATAAGAATTTAAGGACCATACTTCTGAGGGAAAGGAAGGTCAAAATTCCTTTATTGTACCTCAATACCCAGGTTGAATTACCTCTTTTGAATAAAGACCTTCTGAAGCTGCTTTCATTATTCTAGTCTTTCTGGGGCAGCTGTCAAATACTTGTTCAGGTTATTTTAGGTCTCACAAAGCCTGAACTGATGTGCCATAGATACCTTCCAGAATAGATTGCCAGTGGTCATCTGCAAAGGAGGCTTTCATAGCCTTTTGGGCATTCACATGAGACAAATAAAAGAGCCAGGATGTGTGAATTCTCATTGGGACTTAGTGTTCCTTTTCATTACTGATTAGAGAGATACTGAAAGTAATCTCATTACTTAAAATTAAGATGGCTTAATTTCTGGTTACTGTTGTGATGTAATTACTTCCCTTCACAAAACAATGAATTTGGTATTATTAGCCTCATTTTATGAAAGGAAAGACTGTAGCTGAGTGATTAAGAAATAATTTCTGATGCTTGGAGAATGAATTGACTTCAAAGTAACAATTTTTAATTTTGCTTTAGTTTCAGTATTCAATGAAAAAGAAAAATAAAACAACTATTAAAGAATGTTTGGTACCCTGGGGACCTTCTGTTCTCCTTATGTCTCATGTGATCAGTACCCTGCAAACTTTTTTTTTCCTTTTTTTTTTTGTAATACTGAATGCTTCAGATAATTATCTATAGTGAGGCAATCTCATGGCTGCTGCGATATTTAAGTAATATTTATGGCTTATTTCTTAAATGGAGGTTCCTTTGTCAGGGTAGAGAAAACAAGAGTAATGCCAAGGTGTAAACAGAAATATATGGATGTTGCCTATAAACAACAAATTATTATTCTCTAGTATCTTTTCTTGTCATGTAATTCACATGGAGAAAACACTCTTCTCTTTTTGACTACATCTTGGGGCCTGTTTTTCTAACATTGCTCCTACACACACACACAAAGTGGTAAGAGTTTCATTTGATAACCTTAAAAAATTAAGGAAATACGGTTTCTGAATACTAAGCATACGTAATCTGAACAGCACTGTAGTCTAAACTACAGTGTGAAGACAGACAGACAGAGAGACAGAGAAAGAAAGAAATGAGAGAAAGAAAAAGGAAAGAAAGAAAAAAGAAAACCTGGAGAAAAGAAGAAAAAAGAATATAACTAAGAGAAATGATATGTGTAATTATCATCAAGTTTCAAGATAAGGAAAGGCCAAAGTCTGACAGATTTGACCTATAAAGATAAGAGCCACTTTCAGTTATGAACATTTTATTATTTACACAATGGAGAAAAAAAAAACACAGAAAAAAAGTGCTCCCTTGTGGTCCTTGTCCTACACACCAAAAAGCATTCTATAACACAAAAGGTTACTGCCCCGTGAATTGTAGGATACCTCCATTAATTGTGGAGCCAAATCTAGACAGTGGCTAAATGGTTCTAAATCAGTAGCTCTATTCTAAGGGGAATGAAGCAGAAAGAACCAAAACTATCTCATGATATTCCACAAGGGAAGATAAGAAAGCAAGTGGGAGATGCCCTTTGCAGTTCTTCGCAGGCCACCCATCCTCTGGTGTCCATGGAGTATCACAAAATATGCTGTTGGGACTCGCAAAAGCCGTGGTTCCACTCTTTGCCTATGTGGCGACATAGCCAAAGTCTCTAGGATGCCATGGCAGGGCCATTGCTTCCCTGACAAGAATTGGGGTTGTGATGAAACTTACTTTAGTGATTGAGAGCTTATAAACTGAAAATGATCACCTATTACTTCCCTTGTATATATCAGATTTTGTTCATTTAATACTTATCGAACAGTGTATTGAGCACATACTTTGGACCAGGCAGTGTGCTTCATATTGGCAAAACAAAGATAAGGAAGACATTAAAGTGATGTGGAAGAAGGTGTGGAAACTCTAATAGTGCAATGACACAATTTTATACTGGGAGCAAAGGGCCACAAAGCAAGTAAATTCCTCCATGGAGGAAGGGCGCATGGTCAAGGCTGCATAGACTGTTTGAATCTTGAAAGATGCATTATTATTCTCTTGTTTGAAAAGAGAACTTGGAAAAAATGTCAGACAAGATTTACAAGTGCAAAAAAGACACATTGACATACATCAAATACTTCTAAGTAGCTCAATGTGACTGAAATTCAGGATGTTTGATGGGGAGGGACAGGGTGGACAGAGATAAGAGCTGGGTAAGAGGACATCAGGTTGGTGCTCAGTCCTGGTGGTCCTTGCATGGCCTCAGTTTTATTGTGAAAGCTTTAAAGAATTCTGAGAGATACTGACTAGGGGGGTGGCAGTGACATATTCTGCACATCCCTGGTCATGATGAGGAAAACACTAAGAGTTCAGAAAAGGTTACCTGGAGATTCAAAGATAAATTAGAAAATTTTTAGTGATGACAAAATGGAAATTATGAAAAATCTAGTTTTAAAAGGGAGGGACTACAGATGAAGTGTAAACCTCAGAAGAGGCAGTTTGGAAAATATTATAATTCATATGGAGAAAAACACTCTTCTCTTTTTGACGCCTACAGATTGGGGCTTGTTTTTCTAATATTGCTAGTGAAATTAACAGTTTAATTTACTTTTCCATTTATGAGACAAATGCTCATGTAACATAGTAGCACAGTGACCTTGTTTGCCTTTGGATTTAATTTACATTGACGGCCTATTTGCCTGTTTTTACAAAAATTGAATTAGGTCGTCCGTGTATAACACACAGTAAGTTTAATGAGGTTCAGACCTGTCTCCCAAAGCTACCACTATGTAAAAAGTATTTCACTTGGGAAATTAGAATCTCTGTTGCTACCTTCATTAATCTACAAGGGAAATTCGCTCTCCTTTGTATTACACATCTACAAGTGCAAACAGGATAATAAATAGTGATCTATCAGTTCCCAAAACAATTTACATTAAATCATTTATGATTGCTTCCCACTTCTATTTAGTTCACACGGAAGTGCTGAGCAAATGCCCATACAAATTAGAGCCCTCAGGGTCATTTTCACGAATACAAAGGCTTTTTGGTAACTATTTCACATAAACAGATGTGGAAGGATAGATCATGGAAAGGCAAGGAAAATAATCCTGGATGATTAATTACTAGGTAAAGGAAAAGCAAACATGACCGGCACAGCGAGTGAGAAAAGAACTCTTTAATAATGTTCCCTACTCTTATATCGCTTTATACATTTTAAGTTATTCTTAAAATATCTATGAAATTCTCATAAAGTTCCTGTAGAATAGCTCAGCCTAGGGTCTATGAGAGATTAAGAAATTTGCCTAAGCACAGTGCCTAAAGGAATGTACTTCTTTATAGGCTGTCAGTATTTATGTGTAATTAAAGCAACTGCACAGTGAAAGAGGTGTAAGTGGCTATTCTTTTACACAGAAGTAAAAGTCTAATTATAAAGAATTATACTCTACTAAAAAAAAAAAAAAAGAATTACATGGCACCCAGGTATATGAAATGGTAAGCTATTCTCTGAACCCAGGCATAGCTTACTGCCAAACTCTCTTACCCATGCAAGCCAGCAATAGATAGGTAATTAATCATGTTTGGGTAGGCCTGTCTGGAAAAGGCCTAGAAGACAACTGAGAAAGCTGGAAGCAATAGGCTGCGGGCAACTGGCGAAATCAGATGTGTTTGCATTTCTCTCTGTAACCCCATCTGCCTCCCTCCCTGGAGGTAAACAAGGGAAAGTATCTTCTTTGGCTAAAGCCTGTCCTTTCATAGCTTTTTCAAAGCAGAACCAGGCTATGAGCCATTTCAGCAAAATGCTGGTTAAGATTAGAAAGATTCAATCACACATGCCCAATATTTATGAAACACAGTGCCAAGTATCTTGTTTTCCATTATCTAATTTAGGATTTTCTCTGAAATACATTTTAAGTCCCTATTTTTTGGTAGAAAATGGAGATTCAACCAGTGTCCAAATTCACATAGTAGAAGCTGAAGTGGAAAAATTGCGACGTGGCCTCATATATCGAGACTTCAAGTGAGGTTAATTTTTCTGGAATACGTGTCTCTCACCCCCAATTAAAATCAAGAATGTGGACATGTGTGTTATGGTGAAATGTAAATACTATGATACAGGACTAGTGTTAGCAGACAAGCTACTACTAATGAGTATAAAATATTTGTATAGATTAGGCTGAAAAGTCTAAAATGAGTGCTGGGGCCTCACACAGTGCTGGTGTACTCCTACTATTGTTTCAGGCTGTGGCACTTTCACTAGCATTTTCACGTTAGGAAGAAGGAGTTTATGAACCAATGGAAACCACATGTGTTTCTTTTGACAGTGCATATGAGCTTGGATGTTTACCTCTTTGTGCCGGATGGTCACCCATCTTAATGAAAACAAAAAAATAGTTACTAAAAATCTGCAAAGTCCAAACATCTAACCTCATTTTAGACCTTTTGTCATTCCTTTTTCTTCTTCTGAAACGTTGGGTAGCTGCATCATCTTTTCTCCTCCACTTGGCAAAGCCTGTAGCCATTGGCTAACTCAGTCATGATGATATTTGTTTACTACGCATTGCTGATCTCATTAACATATGATTTCCCTATGGTGGAGGAGTGGCAAAGTCAAAGCTACCATTGCAAACTTTTACTCAAATCTTGCACCAAGTCAGTACAATTGAGCTGGGACTTTCAGTTGTCTATAATTATCTAAAATGAGACATAATAAGTCCTACTTCTATTTTCCCTGAGTCTACAATTGCTCATTGCAGTGCTTTGGAGTTCAGTGAAGATTTGTACGTAACTTATATAGTATAATTGGGAGACCGTACAAGTTTTTTTTTTTTTTTTTAATTTTAACTAACGTTTTCATCATTATTCTTGTTTTTCCTGCAAAGATCTTTCCAGCCTGAGCTCAATGCATTTCTTTTCACTTTATTGCTACTGATACCATTCCTTACATTCACAGTCTTGTCTTTGAAAGCACTTGTCTATTCTTAGCGGCTAGTTTTATGGATACAGGTGATACCAGCAATTCACAAGTAGATCACGTAATGCTTTGCTTCAATACACTTGCAAAGTGTTAATTCTACCATTATCCTGCTGAATTTCCTAGGTGTTTGGAAATGGTTCATTCTCCACACACATACCCTGCAGACTTGCCTTGTGTATTAGTCAAGATTCTCCAGAGAAACAGAACGAATAGGATATATAGATATGTAAGAGATTTATTATGGTATTGGCTTACATGATTATAGAGGCTGAGAAGTTCCATGATTTGCCATCCATAAGCTGGAGAACCAGAAGAGCTGGTGGAGTGGAGTAATTCAGTCTGAGTCCAAAGGCCTGACATAAGTCCTGAAGACAAAGGCTCAAGAACCAGGAGCTCCAATGGCCAGAAGCAGAGAAAATGGATGTTCTAGGCCAAGCAGAGAGAAAGAATTCCCCTTCCTTCACCTTTTTGTTCTATTCAGGCCCTCAATGGATTAGACGATGCCTGCCTGTGTTGGTGAGGGTGGGTGGATCTTTCTTACTCAGTGCATTGACTCAAATGCTAATCTCCTCCGGAAATACCTTAACAGACACACTCAGAAATAATGTTTTGCCAGCTATCTGGGTATCCCTTAGCTCAGTCAAGTTGGCATAACACCTTGCTTCAAGCTGTATCTTGGTGTCTTTTGGCAGCACTGATGGGGCCCAAATTTAAATCTCCACCCAGCGCTCTCTCCCCTGCTGATGTGACATGTTGCCTGTGCTGAATGCTGCCTTGGCCATGGTGGTATAACAGGCTCTCGCATTTTGGCTGTGGTGAATGATGGCTTCAGGATTTATTAGGTGCCCTTGGAACACTGGCTTGGGGGTCTATGCTATTAACATTATCTTCTGCCTTTTCCATAATTAAGATGCCACTGCCAGCAAGTTCATTGTCAAAGCATGAGTCTTTTCAGCCAAATTCTTCCTGTAGATCAAGCCAAGAGAAAACCCTGCCTCTCTTTAATTTTTGCTCAGGTCAATTTTTTTCTGCAGTGCTGGGAGAAAGGAAGCCACAAGCTTTCAAAATACTTCAGATATATACAGTTACCAATCTTTGACATGCAAAACTGTTAAAATCTCAGCTCTTACACCCTGGGGAAGTACTGTTAGACTGGAAGGCACAAATTCATTGAGAATTCACAATTCATTTCTTTGAAATGCCGAGAACAAGGCTGTTAATGCTCATGGTGCACAAAGGCAAGCCCTCCAAGGAGAATGGGGTGCAGGAACACTCAAAATGGAAGATGAGAGAGATGAACCATAAAGCATTATTTCAGCTTCAACGCAGGCAGAAAGATGCATACCCCATCATAATGTTCTACCTCAGTGCAAATAAACTTATCGTCACACTGTATTGCCTAAACAATTGCTGATTAATATTAATATTGGATATTTAAATGGAAATCTTCATTTTTTAGTTTCATAACTGTTGGGAAGAAAATGATACACACTTATTGTAAAAGATTCAAACAACATTAACAGCAAAAAGAAATAAACCAAAAGGCATATCCACATTCCTTCTATCAGAGATAATCATAGTTAACATTTCAGAGAACCTCCCTGTAGATATCTATTTATCTATATCTTTTTCTATGTATCTTTACTTCTCTCTCTGTACACACACACACACATAGATACACACACAATATTTTTAAATGATATTATACTTAATCATTATCAGGATAATGAAGGTTCTGAGATTTTACCCTCCTTAGCAAGAAAACAAGTTAGCCTGTTACAGTATCAGTGATATTAGTAGAAGAAACATTTTGTTTCAAGCATTCCAGCAGCTACAAGTCACTCAAACTTCTTAGTTTTGATCCGCCCAAACCAAAGTCACAGTATCCTCTTAGTTGACACCTCTTTTTTTTTTTTTTTTTTGCTGGAGGTTTCTTGACTCAACAGCTACAACCACTTTTCCCTTTAACTAGGGCTGCAGGACTTCCTGCACCATTGTCTTGATAGCATCCCTTCATTTGCCTGCCTGCCTGTAGCATCATTTGAATGGCTTGTTTCAGTTCCACCTCTACCTGCTCAACCTGTCAACATACCTTAACAGGTAGAACAGTGGGAGAACCTTCTTGCTAGTTTGTCCACTACTGGTGTAAGAGCACCGATTACCTGCCCCTGGGCAGTGTTCTTTTATCTCCTAACTTAGCCTATGGAGGCCTTTATTCTCTTTTTCAAGAAAGTTATGTATGTTTTACATCCCCTCTTTGCCTCCAAAATCTGTGAAAGGTCTTGAGCTTTTAGTTTATCTGCAAGCAACCAACTTATCCTGCCAGAATTATGTGGATGTTGGCAAAGACTCTTAAGTCAGAGACAAAAGCCTTTATCACTCATGATACAGAAAGTAGAATGAGTGTCATGGTCATGACCCTTCCCTCTGACCCCATTTTGTGCCACATGACACGAAGCATGCCAGGTAGATTCTGTTCATACAGTGAGTTTGTATCACAGCTGAGGATCTCTAAACTTAGATTTCCAATTATTTATAAGAGGCTGCCAGCAAGCTCGTCCCACTTTTTCCCAAGAGAGAGACATTACCTATAGCATACTGGACAACAAATCAGTCTGCCTTTTGCTCCAGAAAGAGACACCCTTTCTGTATCCAAAAAGTCAGTTTGCTATACAAACATGCCTGAAGAGATGCTTCAGAACAAAGGCCGCCAGGACCTCTGCTTCCAATCCCACACGTGGAAATGTGAAAGAGCCAAGGATAACTGTCCTAACAGCCATCAATAAAATATACACGCTGTCCTAAATCTTATAAACACCAAAACAAGATCTGGCAAAGTATTCAAATAAATCTGGTCATTTTGCAGACTTTTTTTCCTGGTGAAACACACCCTCCTTATCACTAAATAAATTAATATCCCTTGTATATTATGTTCAAATGGCAACCACATTTTGCTATTAGCTAACATGATTGTATTAATGTTATTTTTCTTAAAGATGAAACATCTGCTCAGAAAAAAAAATCTAGGACATGGACATAGATCAAAGTACTAATATTACCCTAAACTCAACATTTTAAAATTAGATAATATATTTTTCTTCTAAAATGGTGTATAGTTCTTATCTACTAAGTCATTCTGGTTTCTTCTTCCTTGTTTTCTCCTTATAATCATAATTGTTACCAAGCACTGAAAATCTTCATTAATAAAATGTTTTCTTTCTCTAATTATCAAACCAATCTTCTTCTAATTATATTCTGTCTGGAATATTGTAATTGCTACCTAACTGATCTTTCTCCAATTTTCCTAGGCCACCAGGCCTGAAAATGTGTGAATAGTCTATCTATCTATCACAACAATCATGCCATATACACAGTATAAGTTACTTTCTATTTTGTAGGGATAATGCCAAAACTTCATTTAACATTTTTTTTACCTTCCCAACTGTCACTTCTTTTCTAATAGAACCATTTAAAGTTGTGTATCTACTACTAATCCCTATACATATTTGAATGTTTACATTACTTTTCTCTTCTCTTTTTAACTTCTTCCCTGCCAGAATTATGTCATTTTCCTCTATCTCCTTTAACTTATAAAACCTTTAAAAAATGAAGGCCAAGCTAACACTACAATGCAAAATCACTACATCCTCACAATAGAGAGCAAATATTAAATAAAATGAATACACCATGGGTTAGCTGGAATACCATGCAAATCGAACCTTTAAACAATACTGGTAGATGTAAAATAATGCAACCTCTTTAGAAATATGGCGTTTCTAATTCTGCAAAGAAAGTCAATGGTAGCTTGATGAGAATACCACTGAATCTAAAAATTACTTTGGGAAGTATCATCATTTTCATTATACTGATTCTTCCTATCCATGAGCATGGAATATTTGTGTCCTCTCTTATTTCCTTGAGCAGTGGTTTGTAGTTCTCTTTGAAGAGCTCCTTCACATCCCTTGCAAGTTGAATTTCTAGGTATTTTATTCTCTTTGTAACAATTGCGAATGGGAGTTCATTAATGATTTGGCTCTCTGCTTGTCTGTCATTTGTATATAGGAATGCATGGAACCAAAAAAGAGCCTGTATAGAAAAGACAATCCTAAGCGGAGGACAAAGCTGTAAGCATCCTGACTTCAAGCTGTACTACAAGGCTACAGTAACCAAAACAGCATGGTACAGGCACCAAAACAGATATATATGTGTGTGTATATATATATATATATATATATATCTCGATAGTTAGATACAGATATATATAATTATCAATGGAAAATAACAGAGACCTCAGAAATAACACCACTCATCTACAACCATCTGATCTTTGACAAACCTGACAAAAACAAGCAATGGGGAAAGGATTCCCTATTTAATAAATGGTGCTGGGAAAACTGGCTAGCCATATGCAGAAAACAGAAACTGGATCCCTTCCTTATACTGTGTATGAAAATTAACTCAAGATGGATTAAAGACGTAAATGTAAAACTCAAAACCATAAAAACCCCAGGTGAAAACCTAGGCAATACCATTCAGGACTTAGGTATGGGCAAAGACTTCGTGACTAAAACACCAAAAGCCAAAATTGACAAGTGGGATCTAATTAAACTAAGAGCTTCTGCATAGCAAAAGAAACTAGCATCAGAGTGAGCAGGCAACCTACAGAATAGGAGAAAATTTTTGTAATCTATCCATTTGATAAAGGTCTAATATCTAGAATCTACAAAGAACTTAAATATACCAAAAAAAAAAACCCCACAAACAACCCCATCAAAAAGTGGGCAAAGCATATGAACAGATACTTCTCAAAAAAAGACATTTATGTGGCCAACAAATGTATGAACAAAAGCTCATCATTGGTCATTAGAGAAATGCAAATCAAAACCACAATGAGATACCATCTCATGCCAGTCAGAATGGTGATTATTAAAAAGTCAGGGAACAAGAGATGCTGGCAAGGATGTGGAGAGATAGGTACACTTTTACACTCTTGGTAGGAGTGTAAATTAGTTCGACCACTGTGGAAGACAGTGTGGCGATTCCTCAAGGATTCCTCAAGGATCCAGAACCAGAAATACCGTTTGACTCAGCAATCCCATTACTGGGTATATGCCCAAAGGAATATAAATCATTCTGCTATAAAGACACATGCACATTTATGTTCATTGCAGCACTATTTACAATAGCAAAGACTTAAATACTGGGTATTACCTCAAAGATCTAGGTATATACTGGGTGTACCACAAGGATCTAGAACCAGAAATACTATTTGACCCAGCAATCCCATTACTGGATATACACCCAAAGGAATATAAATCATTCTACCATAAAGACACATACACTTGTATGTTTATTGCAGCACTATTTACAATAGCAAACACTTGAAACCAACCCAAATGCCCATCAATGATAGACTGGATAAAGAAAATGTGCTACATATATACCATGGAATACTATGCAGCCATAAAAAAGAATGAGTTCATGTCCTTTGCATGGACACGGATGAAATTGGAAGCCATCATCCTCAGCAAACTAACACTGGAACAGAAAACTAAACACCACATGTTCTCACTCGTTAGTGGGAGTTGAACAGTGAGAACACATGGACAAAAGAAGAGGGACAAGACACACTGGAGCCTGTCAGGGAGTGGGGGGCAAGGGGAAGGAGAACATTAGGAAAAATACCTAATGCATGTGGGGCTTAAAAGCTCGATGATGGGTTGATAGTTGCAGAAAACCACCATAATACCTGTGTGCTTATGTAACAAACCTGCACATTCTGCACATGTATCCCAGAACTTAAAGTACATTTCTTTAAAAAAATAGGACGTTTCTTTAAAATTTAAATGTACATCTACCTTAAAACCAGCCATTTCATCTCTAGGTATTTACCTAGGAGAAATGAAAATATATGCCTATGCAAAGACTCATACATGAACATTTATACCTGCTTTAATTTTAATAGTTAAAAACTGGAAACAACCGAAATGTTCATCAACAGGCAAAAGGATAAACATATGTTGGTATATCCATGGTGGTATGGAATACTATTCAGAAATAAAAAGGAATTAACTAAGACACACACAATACATGAAAGAATCTCAAAATAATTGTGTCACATGGTAGAAGATCCCTGTCAAAAAAGTACATGCTATATGATTCATTTATGTAAATTACTAAATAATTAAAACAAATGTGTAGCAAAAACACTTCAGATCAGTGTTACTTGGAGGTGGAGAATAGAGTGAATGGAAAAGTATTCCAGGAGGAGGTTGCAAAAGTACATGAGAAAAACTTTTGGGGTAAATATAAATATATATATATATATATAAATATATATATACACATATATAAATATATATACACATATACACATATATAAATATATATACACATATATAAATATATATACACATATATAAATATATATACACATATATAAATATATATACACATATATAAATATATATAAGTATATAAAAACAAATACATAAATATATAAATATATAAATATAAATATATATTTATATATATATACACCCCAAAATACAGTGTGTGTGTGTGTGTGTGTGTGTGTGTGTGTGTGTGTGTGTGTGTATTATGTTTATCTTTATTGCAATGATGGATTTATGGGCATTTATGTATGTTAATAATCATTAAAATGTATATTTTAAATCCATGGAATTTATTACACCTCAACAAAGCTGAAGAAATTAGATAACAAATAAGTACGCCCGAGAACCAGGCTGGAAAGTCTTGATCATGTGGAGTTGCAGGCAACTGTGAGGTGCTCTATGGCAGCCTCTCTTCTAGCCACTTTACAAATTCACTTGTCCAACTCCTACCCACTCTTAAATCTGCTTTAGCTCTCCCAGATTAATGTTCCAAGACATTTTCTGTATATTCTTGACACTGTTTGAGTTTACTAACCTCAATCAGAACTCTCAAAAATGATTTTTCCCCCACTTAACTTCCCCGAAGCATATTATCTGCACAATCCATATGTCACTTCATGATATATGCATTACAGCACTATTAAGATAGGGAAACTTTTTTTCTTCACAATGAGGCACATAGACTAAACACTTGACAAAGGCAGGAACTAGAAACTTATAGCATATTTATCAGCAAATACATATTAGAGTGGAGTCTGTACATTGCATTTGTGTTATCTTGTGTGATTTTCTGTATTCCTAGCATGAGCGATCAAAAGAGAAGAGAAAAAAAGGGATAGCAGAGGAAATAAATAGAAAGTTAGACTCTACTCCTGATTACTGTAAATTTAGTCATATATGACTTTTCAAGGTCTCTTTGTTCTCCCAAAAATTCTTATTTAGATCTTTTAAATTTTACTTTTAATTCACAAAATATTATTGTATATATTATATATTTGTGGGGCACAATGTGATATTTGATATATGCTTTACATTGTGGAATAATTAAATCAAACTAATTAACAAATTTATCAACTCATATACTCATCATTTTTTGTGGTGTAAACATTTAAAATCCATTCTTTTGGTAATTTTGGAACATATGATGTATTTTTATTTATTATGGCCACCATTCTGTGCAATAGAGCATTAAAGCTTATTCTTCTTGTCTATTTGAAATTGTACAGTTTTTGATCAACCTCCCCCTTTCCCATTGACTTCACTCCCCTAGCCTCCACAAGCCACCATTCTACTCCCTACTTCTGTTTTTAGATTTCACATATAAGTGAGATTTTATGTTATTTTTCTTTCTGTGCCTATCTTATTTCACTTACCATAATGTCCTCTGGGTTCATTCATGTTGTTGCAAATGACAGGATTTTATTCTTTGTTAAGGTTGAATAGTATTTCATTGTATGTGTATACCACATTTTTTATCCATTCATCTAATGATGGACACCTAAGTTGTTTCTACATGTTAGCTGTTGTGAATAATGCTGCAATAAACATGGGAGTCCAGATATCTCTTTGACATGCTGATTTCAATCTCTTTGGATATATACCGCTGAATCTTATGGTACTTCTATTTTTAGGTTGCTGTGAAGACTTCATACTGTTTTCCATAATGTCTTTATTAATTTACATCCCCACTAACAGTTTATAAGTTTCCCTTTTCTCCACACCCTTGCCAACACGTGTTATCTTTCATCTTTTGGATGATAGCCATTCGAACAGGTGTAGGATGATGTTTCATTGTGGTAGCAGTTTGCATTTTCCTAATAATTCGTGATGATGAGATCTGTTAGCCATTTGTATGACTTATGCCAATAAATGTCTATTTAGGTCCTTTGTCCATTTCTAATTGGGTTCTTTGTTTTCTTGATATCAAGTTGAGTTTCTCATATATTTTGGATATTGGCCTCACATCAGATTTGTGGTTTGAAAATATTTTCTCCCATTCCATAGGATTTCCTTCACTCTGTTAATTGTTCTCTTTGCTGTATAGAAAGTTTTTCGTTTGATTGAATCCTATTTATTGAATTTTGGTTTTGCTGGCTGTGTTTTCAGGGTCATATTCAAGAAATCTTTGCTCAGACCAGTGTTGTGGAGCATTTCACCCAGGTTTTTTTCTAGATGTTTTACAATCTCAGGGCTTATGCTTGTGTTTTTTATCCATTTTTTTAGTGAAATTATGAATATGATGTAAGACAAGGATACAGTTTCATCCATCAGCATATGGATATCTTGTTTATTCAACACCATTTATTGAAGAAAATGACTTTTTTTCTGGTATATTTGTGAAAGATCAATGATCATATATACATGGGTTTATTTCTGCATGTTTTGTCCTGTTTCATTTTTCAATGTGCCTATTTTTATGCCAGTACCATGCTGTTTTGATTACCATAACTTTATATTTTAAAATCGGGGAGTGTGATACTTCCAGCTTTATTTATTGTTGTTTTTGCTCAAAGTTGTTGTGGCTCTTTGAGGTCTTTTGTGTTTCCGTACAGATTTTAAGCTTTGTTTCTATTTCTGTGAAAAATGACATTAAAATTTTGATAGAGATTGCATGAAATTTGTAGTTCACTTTGAGCAGAATGGATAAGATTGCACGAAATTTGTAGTTCACTTTGAGCAGAATGGATATCTTAAATATTTTTTCTTCTAATCCGTGAATATATTTTCCCTTTATTTATGATGTCAACTATTTTTCATAATTGTTTCATAGATTTCAGTATGTAGATATTTCAGCTCCTTGGTTAAATTTACTCCTAAGTGTTTTTGTGCTATTATAAATAACATTGATTTCTTATTTGAATAGTTTTTGTTGTGTAAAGAAACAACACTAATTTTTGTGTGTTAATTTTGTATCCTGCAAAATTACTAAATTTATCAATACTAACAGTTTTTTGGTGGAGTCTCTAGGGTTTTCCACATGATCATCTCATCAAACAGTGACAATTTCACTTCCTTCTCTATTTGGATAACTTTTATTTCTTTTTCTTGTCTAGTTTCTATGGCTAGTATTTCCAGTGTTATGCTGAACAGAATTGATGAGAGTGAGCATCCTTTTCTTATTCCTCATTATAGAGAAAAAACTTGCAACTTTTCACCATTGGGTATGTTAGCTATAGGATTTCCATATATGGCCTTTATCGTGTTGTGGTACATTCCTTCTATACCTAATTTGTTCAAAGTTATTTTTTTTAATCATAAAAGGATGTTGAATTCTGACAAATTCTTTTTCTGCACCTATTGAGATAGTTAGATATTTATATGATTTTGTTACTTATGCTAGGCCCAGGTCCTAGCAATTACATCATGATTTCAGTGACTTTACAGGATGACTTTGACTATCACTTTTACCAAAATAATTGATTTTAGAATCTAGCTCCTGTTGTTAGATCTTATTGTAAATTTATATAGTATAATAACTATACCATTCAATGAAAGAATGGGACATAAAAAGTAGGATGAGACAGCCGTGAAAATGAAAAGGCAGGGAGAATCAGATTGTTGCTGTTGTTTCTTCTGTCATTTATTAATAGGAATGGGAGGCAAAAGGATGTAAGACAATTTATTCCTACCAGAAATCAAGTTATAATAAATGGATTCCCTTTACAAAGGATATTTTTATAAATAGAAGTTATGAGGTTTTGTCATAAAATATCCAAAGGCTTTAGAAACCCAGTAAACAGTTTATACAGAGCTGTCCACCAAAGCACCGGTACAGTCCTTGAAAATGTCAAATTTACTGTATGTCAGCATTTCCCAGAGTATCTGCAAGGAGAATAACTTTCAGAGAGTAAAATAAGAAAGATAAATATTTTGCATGCCTAGCTGCTTGTGAAATTGCCTATATGATTCTGCTCAAGTTACTGAGTACTCTATAAACATTATTCTAATGTATTTTTACAGAATGATTTAGAAGCCTTCCACAATAAGAATCACTGGCCTGGATTTTAAAGCAACTAGCCATAGAAGTTGTCTTGCACAAAGTACATTACCACTTAATTAAAGAATTATTCAACATGACTAAGTTTTCCTGGGCCCTAAATTGTTCTTCTATTCTACAAATCACTTTTTTCCCTTATTAATCACGACGTGGAGAATGTTCAGGAAAACTGTAAAGGTTACCAACTGAGGCTGATCTGGGTTGAAATTCAGTCTTCACCTCATGGAAATTGTGTGATCTTAGGCCATTTATTTTTTTCTTATTTTAGTTCCCTCTTCAGCAAAATTATATACATGTGAGTGTGTGTGTGTGTGTGTGTGTGTATCTCACTGATATTGCAAAAATTAAAGAAAATTTTGTGCCTATAGATTGTGATTCATCGTGCCTCTATTACATGGTAGTTTTCTGGTTTATTTCCTTTAATAAACTGGTATGTATGTATGTATGCTTGCAGTAAGCACTCAAAGTAAAACTTTCAAAAAACAAGAGAGATGGCTGCTTGTCTTTCAAAGAGACACTACCTTGGCAAATTTACAGGAGTCCAGCTCTGAGCCTTGAAAGGCCAGAGGCATGAGCTTCTCACCACCTCAGAATTGGAGTGGTTCAGTTTCATCACACAGATGATAATAAAATGTGCACATATAATTGGACTTGAGTAGATGTTCTGTCCAGTGACATCTTCCCCCTGGGACCACTCTGTACACTATAATGTTTACTTTTGGGTATGCTGGTTATGGAATATGGATATCTGATTTGAATATTTTATTATTAGTCTCTCATAGCCTGTGTGGGCATTTCCATAGGAATATTGTACTTGAGACAGTCACCCTTATAAAGTTAAATACTGACATCTCTGAGCACATTTTTATTGAAGTATATATAAGATTGTATGACTTTTCTTTTTCTAGCCATACCTTAGATTTTTCTTTCTGTATCAACCTTTTCCAGATATATTACTCTCATGTAATATTAGCCTAGAATATCTGTTGTGTCCTTAAGAAGGTTTTGTCTTATATCATAATGTCTTGAGTCATTTGATTGATTCATATAACCAAGCCCTATTCCAAAAATATTTGAAGCAGCTTCATAATATGTAATGGCATAAAATACCACCAAATAAAGCCAAATATGTGAAAATTAGAATAAAGGCCAAATAAACACAGTTATTCTATGAAACCAGGGTTAATTTAACAAATTGAATACACATTGACAAACATACACACGCACACACACACGCGCGTGCACAGAAACAAACATATTTATGTTAAGTTTCAACATTTTCTAAAGGAAAACCATAAATTCAAACTTCGGATTCTAGCAATCAGAGCAAAGTGGAAAACTTTATTATTGTACAATTCATATTCACAACATAAAAAAAGTCAACTAATGTTTATAAGTACAGATACTACAAGGGCTGGGATTTGGAAACATTTCTCTGTAGAGCAGAGGATGAAAATAGGCTGGCTATCTCAGATGGGTCTGTTTAGTTTGGTTTTACTACCCAGCATTTTTTCAAACTTTTGAATTAATTATCAATATGTAAACATCAAGAAGTTTAAACACCAAATTCTGAGTTCCAAATTTCTCTTTACAATAAAAGCAGCTGAACACATTATGCCTATATGCCTGCATGGAGCTGAGTAGCCATGCCTTTGGACAGGATATGTGCTTTTTATTTGACCATGGCTCCCATCAATTCTTGGTGTCAGATGTCATTCATCATCATGCTTGCACCAGTTCAATTTATTTTATATTTAGTGATTTTCTGCCATTTTCCCCAGCTGAATTACCTCATTTCTGTTTCCAGCTGGTCCCTGCAGGCATCTGAGTTTGCACCCCTAGAGTAGATCAAATGTATATTCAATTCCTCTCCATTCAAGCCTTTGGAAGTTTCTCAAAGGCATGATAAGCTAGAAGATAGTCTACTTTTGATTTCCTAGGCTAAACCTGGGAGGGAAGCACAGAAAATCCTGAGAAGGTAATACTCTGAAGTTCATTTATGCTTGTGTTGGCATATATTACTTGAGTGTTTTCTGAAAATGCGATCTATGCCTTCCAAATTATTTTCTGTTTTTGTTAATCATGAAATTCAAACGCAAACATCAAAACAATGCAGAAGCAAAGAAAAATGGCCTGCAGAGAAATCCATCTGGAATTATTATTTTTTCCAAGATGAATGAAAAATTGTACAATGCTCATGTGGATATCTAAAATCTGATCATATTTTATGAAGTCCTCCAAATACTACTACTTTAGATTAATAGGAATTATGTAATTGAGTTTTCATATGTATTTTAAAGTAAATATTTTATTTGAAGTGTAACATATATTTTAAAGTACATAAGTCATAAGCATACAGCTCAATGAATATTTCCAAGTAAATATATTGATATAATCTCCATCACTGAGACTCAAAATAGATTAACAGTCCTCCCTCATTTCCTCTATTGTTTATCAGCTCAAGCCTGCCCCGCCCTTTCACCAAAGATTACTACTCCTTTGTTTTTTAAATCATTTTAACTTATGCATAATAAATTTGCATACTTATGGGGCACCATGCAAAATGTTGATACATTTATACAATGCATAATGATCAAATCAGAGTAATTAACATATCTATCACCTTAAACATTGATCATTTCTTTGTGCCTGGACATTCAAAATCTTTCTTCTGGCTTTTTGAGCTTTTTTGAAAATATAGAATAAATTATTTTTAACTATAGAGACCCTACAATGCTATAGAACACTAGAACTTATTCCTAATAACTAGTTGTAATTTTGTATCTGTTAACCAATCTCTTTTTATCCGCTTTCTCTGCTACCCTTCCCAGCTACTACTTACCACTATTCTGCTATCTAGTTTAAGAGATTAACTTACTTAAGTGCTTTATGCATTTAAGAAACTTCTGCCTGGCTTCCAGTTCATAAAGATGATCTCTTATATCTACTTCTAAGGGTTTTAAAGTTTTCATTTTTAAATTTAAGTTTATGATCCATTTTGAGTTAATTTTATATGTGGTGTAAGAGAGAAATTACGATTCAAGGCTCAGTGGCAGATTAAGATGACAGACAGAAGCAGGACTAGCTAGGAGCAGCTTTCACCCAGACAGACAGAGCAGCATGTAGAGACTCACATCGTGAATTTTTGCTCCAAGAACTACTTCAGGAACATACCAGGAAAGCTAAGAGAATCCACAGACCCTTTGAAGGAACTGGATTGCCACTGAAGGATCTCAGAGATCCCAAAAAACTGTGAGTCTGCTTGCTTTCTCAGTGGGAGTCTCATGGTCTGGGACAACTTCTTAGCCCTGGTCACTGGCTGACTGGAAATTGGAACTTATGTTTAAAGGGGAAGCAGAAAATAAAAGTTTGGAAAATTTAGAGGAACCAACAGTCTCACAAAGTCTTAACACATTCCAGCATTAACTAAAAAGTCCAAGTCCAAAGTCTCATCTGAGCAAGGAAAATCCCTTCTGTCTATGAGCCTGTAAAATAAAAAACAAATTAGTAACTTCCAAGTTCCAACTGGGGTACAGGCATTAGGTAAATCTTTCCATTGCAAATGAAAGAAGTTGACCAAAACACAGGGGCCACAAGCCCCATGCAAATCCACAACCTAGTAGGGCGGTAATTAAATTTTAAAGCTCCAAAATTTCCTTTGACTCCGTATCTCACAGTCAGAGCAAACTGATGCAAGGGGTAGGCTCCCATGGTCTTGGGTAGCTCTAACTCTTTCGCTCTGCAGGGTACAGCCCCCACAGCTGCTTTTATGAGCTGGCATTGAGTGCCTGAGACTTTTCCAGGTGCATGTTGCAAGCAGTCAGTGGATGTACAATTCTGGGGTCTGAAGGCTGGTGACCCTCTTTTCAAACCTCCATTAGGCAGTGCCCAAGTGAGGACCCTGTGTGGGAGCTCCAACCCCACATTTCCCCTCTGCATTGTCCTAGTAGAAGTTCTCCATGAGGGCTCTTGCTCTGCAGCAGACTTCTGCCTGGATATCCAGGGATTTCCACACATCCTCTGAAATCTAGGTGGAGGTTCCTAAAGCTCAATTCTTGTCTTCTGTGCATCCACAGGCCCAACCCAACATGGAAGCTGCCAAGGCTTGGGGCTTGCATCTTCTGAAGTGATGGTCTAAGCTGTACCTTGGCCTCTTTTAGCCACTGGAGCTGGAGTGGCTGGGATGCAGGGCCCCTAGTCCTGAGGCTGCACAGAGCAGCAGGGCCCAGAGCCTGGATCATGAAACCATTTTACCCTTTAAGGCATTGGGTCTTGTAATGGGAGGGGCTGCAACAAAGATCTCTGACATGCCCCAGAGACGTCTCCCCAATGTCCTGACTATTAACATTTGTCTCCTTGTTACTTAGTCAAATTTCTGTAGCCTGCCTGAATTTTTCCACAGAATTTTTTTTCTATAATACCTCATCGTCAGGCTCGAAATTTTCCAATCGTTTATGCTCTGCTTCCCCTTTAAACATAGGTTCCAATTTCAAACCATCCCTTAGTGAACACATATAACTGTACTTTCAGGAAAAGCTGGGTCACGTCTTGAATATTTTGCTGCTTAGAAATTTATTCTGCCAGATACCCTAAATAATCTTTCTTAAGTTCAAACTTCCACAGATCTTTAGGGTAGGGGCAAAATGTCACCAGTTTCTTTGCTAAAGCATAGCAAGAGTGACCTTTGCTTTGGTTTCCAATAAGTTTTTAATATCCAACTGAGACCACCTCAGCCTGGACTTCATTGCCTATATCACTATCAGCATTTTTGACACTACCATTCAACAAGTCTCTAGGAAGTTCTAAATTTTCTCACATTTTTCTGTCTTCCTCTGAGCCCTCCAAACTGTTCCGACCTCTGCCTGTTACCCAGTTCCAAAGTTGCTTCCACATTTTCAGGTTATCATTATAGTAGCACCCCACTCCTGATAGCAATTTTCTGTATTACTTTGTTCTCACACTGCTATAAAGATACTACCTGAGACTGGGTAATTTATAAATAAAGGAGGTTTAATTGACTCACAGTTCTGCATGGCTGGGGAGGCCTCAGGAAACTTACAATAATGGCAGAAGGGGAAGGGGAAGTAAGGCACATCTTACATGGTGACAGGAGAGAGAGAGAGCACAGGGGAAACTGCCACTTTAAAAATCATCACGTCTCATGAGAACTCCTTCAATATCACAAGAACAGCATAGGAGAAACCACCACCATGATGCAATCACCTCCCACCAGGTCCCTCCTTCAACACTTGGGGATTACAATTTGAGATGAGATTTGGGTGGGGACACACAGCCAAACCATATCATATGGCAATATGTAAGTTGGTCAATGTCTTGACTGTATTTTGTTCCATCGATCTACTTTTATCCAAATATTATATTATCTTAATTACTGTAGGTTTATGTGTTAAAATCAGATGGTGCAAATATTCCTATTTTATTTTTTATTGATACATATAGTGGTACCTGTTTTTGAGGTAGATGTGATATTTTGATACATGCATACAAGGGGTAATGATAAAGCCAGAGCAATTGGAACATTCATCAACTCAAATATTCCCTCTTCTTTATGTTGGAAACATTTCAATTTCTCTTATCCATCCATTTTGAACTGTACAAAAAATGATTTTTAACTATAGTCACCCTACTGTACTATCAAATGCTGGCTCTTATTATTTCTATATAACTATATTTTTGTACCCACTTACCAACCTCTCTTCATCCTACTATATCTTTGATTCTTCTCAGTCTCTAATAACCACTAGTCAACTCTTCTATCTCCATGAAATCCACTTTTGTAGCTTCCACATATAAGTAAAAACATGTGATATTTATCTTTCTGTGTCTGGCTTATTTCACTTAACATAATGACCTCCAGTTCCATCCAAGTAACTGCAATTGGCAGGATTTTATTCTTTTTTATGGTTGAACAATATTGCATTGTGAATATGTGCCACATTTCCTTTATTCTTTCATTCATTAATTGACACTTAGATTGATTTCTTATCTTAGCTATTGAGAATAGTGCTGTAATAAACATGGGAGTGTAAATATCTCTTTGATATACTAATTTACTCTCTTTTGGATATTTATCTAGTAGTGGAGTTGCTAGATTATATGGTAGTTTATTTTTATTTCTTGAAAAACCTCCATAATGTTTTCCATAGTGGATGTACTAATTTACATTCCCACCAACAGTGTTACAAAATTCCCCTTTCTCCACATCCTTGCCAGCTTCTGTTATTCCCTGTCTTTTTGATAAAGGTCATTTTACCTAGAGGGAGATAATATCTTCTTGTGACTTGAATTTGCATTTTCCTAATGATTATTGATATTGAGCAGTTTTTCATATACCTGTTGGTCATTTGCATTTCTTCTTTTGAGAAATGTCTATCCAGATATTTGGCCATTAAAATCAGATTTTTTTTTTTTACTTTTTGCTTTTGAGTTGTTTGAGTTCCTTATATATTCTGATTATTAATACTTTGTTGGATGAATAATTTGCAAATGTTTTCTTAACTTCTGTAGGTTGTCTTTTCACTTTGTTTATTGTTTTATTTGTTGTGCAGAAGCTTTTTAGTTTAATATAGTCCCATTTATCTATTATAGCCTTTGGTGTCTGTGCTTCTGAAGTCCTACCTAAAAAAAGTCTTTGCTTAGACCAATGTTATGAATCATTACCCCAATGGTTCTCTCTCGAGGTTTCATGGTGGTAGGTCATACATTTAAACTTTTATTCCATTTTGATTTCATTTGACTTGTAATATGGTGAGAGATAGAGATCTAGCTTAAATCTTCTGTATATGACTACCCACAGTTCCCAGCACCTTTTGTTGAAAAGACTGCCCCCTTTTCAATGTATATTTGTGGTACCCCTGTCAACATTGAGTTTGCTATAAATTCATGCATTTATTTATGGGTTCTGTATTCTGTTTCATTGCTCTATATGTTTGCTTTTATGTTAGCGCTATGCTGTTTCTGTTGCTATGGCTTTGTAGTATATTTTAAAGTCAGGTAGTGTGGTAACTCCAGCTTTGTTATTTTTTGCTCAGAATTGTATTAGCTATTTAGGGTCTTTTGTGGTTCCATACAAATATTAGGACTTTTTTGTTTTATTTCTGTGAAGAACATCATTTATGTTTTCATGGGAATGTCATTAAGTCTACAGAATTTTTATTGTAGTATAGACATTTTAACTGTATTAATCATTCTGATCCATGAGCATAGGATGTCTTTGCATTTGTTTGTGTCCTCTTGAATTCTTTTTCATCATTGTTTCGTACCTTTCCTTGAGATCTTTCACCTCAGTTAAATTTATTCCTAGAGCTTTTTTTTTTTGTAGCTATTACAAATGGAATTTCCTTCTTGATTTTTTCTCAGCTAGTTTATTACTGGTACATACATGTGCTACTGTCTTCTGTGTACTGACTTTGTATGCAGCAACCTTAATGAGTTTATTTATCAGTTCTAAGAGATTTTTGGTGGAATCTTTATGTTTTGCTAAATATAGTATGTCATGCATGCCCAAGAATAATTGGACTTTTTCTACATATGTTTCCTTTTTTTTTTTTTAATGGAGACGATGTCTCACTATGTTTTCCAGGCTGGCCGCAAACTCCTGAGCTCAAGTGATCCTCCCACCTTGGCCTCCCAAAGTGCTAGAATTACAGGCATGAGCCACCAGGACTGGCCTAATTTGACTTTTTCTTTTCCAATTCTGTTGCCTTTCATTTCTTTTTCTTGCCTAATTCCTATAGCTAGTACGTCCAGTACCATATTGAATAAAAGTGGTAAAACTGATCATCCTTGTCTTGTTTCAGATCTTAAAGGAAAAGCTTTCAACTTTACTACATTTAGTATGGTGTCAGCTATGAACTAGTCATATATGGCCTTTATTGTTTTAAGGTATGTTCCTTCTATACCCAGTTAAATTTGTTTGCTTGCTTATACTCAGTGAATTATTTTTGTTTTCGTGGAGACAGAGTCACACTGTGTGGCCAGGGTGGTCTCTAACTCCTGAGCTCAAGTGATCCTCCCAGTTCGGCCTCCAAAAGTGCTGGAATTACAGGAGTGAGCCACTGTACCCAGCCTATGCTTAGGCTGTTTTTTGTTTTAAGAATTTTTTTATCACAGGTTATTGGAGAACAGGTGGTATTTGGTTACATGAGTAAGTTCTTTAGTGGTGATTTGTGAGATTTTGGTGCACCCATTTCCTGAGAAGTGTACACTGAACCCAACTTGTAGTATTTTATCCCTCACCCCCTTCCCAACCTTTCCCCTTGAGTCCCCAAAGTCGATTGTATCATTCTCATGCCTTTGCATCCTCATAGCTTAGCTTCCACTTATGAGAACATGCAATGTTTGCTTTTCCATTCCTAAGTTACTTCACTTAGAATTATAGTTTCCAATCCCATCCAGGTTGCTGCAAGTGCCATCAATTCATTCTTTTATGGCTGAGTAGTATTCCATCATATATATATATATATACACACACACACACACACACACACACACATACATACATACATATATATATATAATCACAGTTTCTTTATCCACTCACTGTTTGATGGGCATTTTGGCTGGTTTCACATTTTTTCAGTTGTGAATTGTGCTGTTATAAACATGATTAAGCAAGTATCTTTTTCGTACAATGACATTTTCCTCTGGGTAGATACCCAGTAGTGGGATTGCTGAATCAAACGGAGGTTCTACTTTTAGTGCTTTGAGGAATCTCCACACTGTTTTCCATAGTGGTTGTACTAGTTTACATCTCCACCAGCAGTGTAGAAGTGTTCCCTTTTCTCCACATCCACGCCAACATGTTTGTTTTTTTTTTTTATTTTGTTTTGTTTTTTGTTTGTTTGTTTTGAGACGGAGTCTCGCTGTTGCCCAGGCTGGAGTGCAGTGGTGCAATCTCAGCTCACTGCAAGCTCCACCTCCCAGGTTCATGCCATTCTCTTGCCTCAGCCTCCCAAGTAGCTGGGACTACAGGCTCCTGCCACCATGCCCAGCTAATTTTTTGTATTTTTAGTAGAGATGGGGTTTCACCGTGTTAGCCAGGATGGTCTTGATCTCCTGACCTCATGATCCACCCATCTTAGCCTCCCAAAGTGCTGGGATTACAGGCCTGAGCCACCGCGCCTGGCCTTTTTTTCTTTTTCTTTCTTTTTTTTTTTTTTTTTTTTTTTGAGAAGGAGTCTCGCTCTTCCGCCCAGTCTGGAGTGCAGTGGTGCCATCTTGGCTCACTGCAACCTCCACCTCCAAGGTTCAAGCAATTCTCCTGCCTCAGTCTCCTGAGTAGCTGGGATTACAGGCACCTACCACCACACCTGGCTAATGTTTGTATTTTAGTAGAGACAGGGTTTCACCATGTTGGTCAGGCTGGTCTCAAACTCCTCACCTCAATTAATTAGCCCACCTCAGCCTCCCAAAGTGCTGGGATTACACATAAGCCACCACACCTGGCCTATTTTTTTAATTTTTTGATTATGACCATTCTTGTAGGAGTAAGGTAGTATCACATTGTGGTTTTGAATTTTCCTGATTAGTGAGTTTGAGCATTTTTTTCATATTCTTGTTGGCCATTTATATAGTTTCTTTTGAGAACTGTCTATTCATGTCTTTAGCCCACTTTTTGATGGGACTGTTTGTTTTTTTCTTGTTAATTTGTTTGAGTTGATTGTAGATTCTGGATCTTAGTACTTTGTCAGATGTATAGATTGTGAAGTGAGTTTTTATCATAAAGAGATGCTAAATTATGTTGAATGTTTTTCCAGCATCTATCAAAATGATCATACAGCTTTTGTTCTCATTAATGTGATGTAGCACGTTTATTGACTAGAATATGTTGAACCATGCTTGCATCTCTGCGATGAATTTCACTTTATCATGGTGAATAACTTTTTAATGTGTTATTAAATTTGGTTTGATAGTATGTTGTCAAGAATTTTTACATCTAATTTCCTCAGGGTTTGGCCTGTAGTTGTTGTTGTTTCCTTGTCTGGTTTTCATATCAGCATAATACTAGCCATGCAGAATAAGTTTGAAAGTATTCCTTCTTCTTCTTCTTCCTCTTCTTCTTCTTCTTCTTCTTCTTCTTCTTCTTCTTCTTCTTCTTCTTCTTCTTCCTTCTTCTTCTTCTTCTTCCTTCTTCTTCTTCTTCTTCTTCTTCTTCTTCTTCTTCTTCTTCTTCTTCTTCTTCTTCTTCACTTTTTTGGAATAGTTTGAGTAGAATTGGCATTGGTTTTTAATCTTTGGGAAAATTAGGCAGTGAAATCATCATGTCCTGGGCTTTTCTTTGATGGAGGACATTGGGTTACTGCTTGGATCCTATTACTCATTGTTGATTGCTCCAGTTTTCTATTTTGTTATGGGTCAGTCTTGGTAGATTTGGTATATCCATGAATTCATTTGTTTCTTCTAAGTTTTCCAATTTGTGCATAGGTGTTTATAATGTTCTCTAGTAACCCTTTGAATTTCTGTGTTATTAGTTGTTATGTATTCCTTTTTATTTTGGAATTTATTTATTTGGGGCTGTTCTCTTTTTTTCTTGGAAACTATGTTTATTATCTTTACAAAATTTTTTTATTGCTCTTTTGTATTTATTTGTCTCAATTGTGTTCATTTCTGCTCTTTTTTTTTTTTTTTTTTTTTTTTTTTTGCTTATTTCCTTCCACCAATTTTGGCTTTGGTTTCTTCTTGCTTTTTTAGTTCCTTGAGGTGCATCATTAACTTGTTTATTTGAAGTCTTTCTACTTTTTTGATGTAAGTCTATTTATTGTTGTACACTTTCTTTTTAGCACTGCTTTTGTTGTATGGCATAGATTTTGATATGTTGTATCTTCATTTTCATTTTGTTCAAGAAATTCTAAAATTTTCTTTAACAATGAGCCAGGGCTAATGTGATTCTCTCACCTCACTCCCCGAGTAGCTGGAACTACAGATATGTGCCAACACACCTGGCTAATTATTTTATTTTTCATAGAGATGGGGTCTCACTATGTTGCCCAGGCTAGTCTCAAACTCCTAGGCTCAAGCAATCCTCCCACCTCGGCCTCCCAAAGTGCTGGGATTACAGGCATGAGCCACCACACCTCACCATAATTTCTTTATTGATCCAGTGATTCATTAAGAGCATGTTATTTAATTTTATGTGTTTGTAGTTTCCAAAGTTCCTCTTGCTATTGTTTTCTAGTTTTATTCCATTCCATTGTGGTTGGAAAAGATATTTGATATGATTTTAACTTTTCTGAATTTGTTGAGACTTACTTTGTGTATTTACATATGGTCTATCCTGGAGATTCTATCATATAATGATGCGAAAAATGTATACTCTTGAAGCAGTTGGATAAAATTTTCTGTAAATGTCAGTTAGGTCCTGTAAAGGTCTATAGTGTAGTTTAATTCTGATGTTTCTTTGCTAATTTTCTGTCTCAATGATCTATCTGATGCAAAGAATGGGATGTTCAGGCTCTCAAATATTATTGTATTGGAGTCTATCCCTCCTTTTAGATCTAAAAATATTTGCTTTATATATCTGGGTGCTCTAATGTTGAATGCATATACATTTAGACTTGTTATATCCTCTTGCTGAATTTAACACATTATCATTATATAATGACATTCTTTGTTTCTTTTTAATGTTTTAGACTTAAAATCTGTTTATCTCATATAGATATAGCTACTCCTAATCTTCTATGTTGCCATTTGCATAGAATATCTTTTTCCATCCCTTTACTCTCAGTTTAGGTATGTCTTTACAGGTAAAGTGAATTTCCTGCAGGTAGCATATGGTTAAATTGTTTTTGTTTTTATTGCTCTTGTTATTTGACCACTCTATGCCACTTAATTGGAGAATTCAGTCTATTTACTTTCAGTGTTATTGTTGAGAGCTAAGGAGGTACTACTGTCATATTGTTACTTGTTTTTTGGTTGATTTGTAACTTCTCTTTTCCTTTTTTCCACCTTACTTACTGTCTTCCTTTGTGGTTACGTAATTTTCTTTGATAATATTTTTAAATGTGTTGCATTTTATTTTTGGTGTATCTATGATAGGGTTTTGCTTTGTGGTTATCATGAGGCTTACAAAAATATCTTAAAGATATAAACAGTTATTGTAAACAGACAATTTTGACCATTAAGAAAAAAAAGAAACAAAAAAAGAGAAAGAACTGAAATACTCTACACTGTAACTCTATCCGCCAACATTTTGATTTCTTATGGTCTCAATTTACATTTTTTATATTGTCTATCACTTAACAGGCTTCTGTAAATGTTATTAGTTTTGATAGATTTGTCTTTTAGTCTTCAGACTGGAGATATAAGTGGATCACACACAATTACAATATTAGAGTGTTCTGAATTTTTTTGTGTACTTACTTTTATCAGTGAGTTTTACATCTTCAAATGTTTTCTTTTTCCACATTAGTGCTCTTTTGATTCAGGTTGAAGAACTTCCTTTAGCATTTCTGTAAGACAGATCTAGTGATGATTTTTCCCCCCAGCTTTTGATTTTCTGGGAAAAATTTTTTCTCTCCTTAATGTTTGAAGAAAATCTTTGCTGGGCATAGTGTTCTCAGTTGACAGTTAAGATTTTTTCCAGCACTTTCCATATACCTTCTCTCCCTCCTTTCCTTCATGGGTTCCTCTGGGAAGTATGTGGCCAAACAAAGCAGATCTCCCTTTATGTGTTATTTGCTTCTTTTATTTTTGCTGTTTTAAGATCCTCTCTTTGTTCTTGACCTTTGAGCATTTGATTATTATATACCTTGGGATAGTCTTCTGTTGAATCTGTTTGGTGACATCTAACCTCGCCATGCCTAGATTTATATATATTTTTCTAGGTTTGGAGTGTTTTATATTATCATATTTTTGAATACGTTTTCTGCCTCTTGCTTTTTCTCACCTCCCTCTTGAACATGAATGACTTAGATTTATACTTTGATATTATTTTCTATATCCTGTCAGATTTTTTTATTCTTTTTTTCCCCTGACTGTATCTTTTCAAACAGCCTGTCTTTGAACTCACTGGTTCTTTTCTCTACTTGAATCCATTCTGCTATTGAGAGCCTCTAATGCATTTTTTTATTCCGCAAATGTATTCCTTAGTTCCAAGACTTCTGTTTGATTTGTATAAATTATTTTAATATCTTTGTTAAATTTCAATACATTTTTGCATTGCTTTTTTGTGTTATATTGAAGTTTGCTGACTTTCCTTAGAATTGCTATTTTGAATTACTGATTTAGATGCTCACAAATCATAATCTCATTAGGGTTGATCACTGCCTCCTTATTTTGTCCATTGGGGTGATCATGGGTTTCTGTTTGCTGTTATGTATAGCTGTTGCTTCACATTGAATAATTAGTTATTTATTCCAGCCTTTGCTGTCTGGCTTGTTTTGGTCTTTCTAGGGCATAGTTGCTTAGAGGTCTTTGCAGTTGCCTTTTGAGTCCCCTTTATCCTAGATCTCTGCTTCTTTTCAGCACTAGCTTGTGCCTTAAGCCCAAATTTGCCTCAGCTCTCATAAACATTCAGAGCGCTCCCCATCCTTAATTGGAGTGGGGGTGGGCAAAGCAGATAGCCCAGCTGTGTAAGATGGCTGGCTAGGGGTTCATGCACAGAAGACTCATGAGTGTGCCTCCTACAGGATGGTGCTGCTTAATATCTACTTTGATTTGCCATCTCCTTTGACTGAAATAAAGAGCACAGTTTGTCAGAGGCTGAGCTTTCTAGTCCTACCACCCCTCTTTGCCTAGAAATGCTCTCAGAGTTTTTTCTTTCTACATGCACCTGCAGTGCTTTTCATGGGTTAAGGCAGGTTCCTGAATGTGAACCTAAGATAGTGAGAAAGCTGGATGTCTGCCTCAATCTCATTTTTTCCAGTAAAACAACTCTGAGTTCAGTGGGAATTTCCTGCATGTGGTGCTTGGCAGATTGGGGAAGGCTTTACTTGGATAGAGAAGGTCATTTCTTTTACCATCTTCTCAGAGTCTTTCAATTTTCGGTGTGCTTAGGGATTGTCTCAGTGTTTGATCTCAGTTCTGGATATTGCTGATGATAAGCTTGGTGCTGTGTTTTTTTCATTTTGTTTTGTTTTCTGTAAGGACCATGAACTCAGGTTGATTCTACTATGCCATTTTGGTGACATCACTTTCACTCTTGACTATTATCACAATGGATTAATTCTGCCTATTTGTTGATTTTATGTAAATAAAATCATATAATGTGTAACACTGTTTAACAATTCATTATTTCAACATTATGTTTAGAGGTTAATTCATGTTTTTATATTACCATTAGTTTGCATTTTTGTTGCTATTTTGTATTCCATGGTATAAACTAAAAGGTATTTATTTTACTATAGATGGAAATTTGAATTGTTTCTAATTGTGATTATTATTAATTGTGCTTCTGTGAGTATACTTGTGTGTGGCCTTTGTTGCATACATTTACATATTTCTGTTATGTGGGAAGAAATACTGGGTAACAGGGTTTGCTTATACTCTGCTGTAGTGTCTACTGCCACACAATTTTCCAAAATGGTTGAATCAACTTAAAATCCCACCAGCAATGTAGGATAGTTCCAGTTATTCCACATCCTAAACCAATACTATTACTGCTCCCAAATCAAAAAAAAAAAAAAAACAGAGATACTTTCATATCTTCTTTTCAATGCTTAATAGGAGTGATAATATTGGGCCTCTGTGTGTGTTTCTTGATTACAGAGGTAAAACTGCCAACATTAACCTTTAAGAATAACATTTTCTCCAAGTTTGTTATACATAATCTTTACCAGAATAAGGCAATTATATTAATAGACATCAATAGTTTTAATTGTGATGGATGTTATTTGTATATATTTTTTCTATCTGGACATAATTATTTTTAATTTCTTTTTTCAACTAATATAATAAAATGCCTTTAATTTTAATTCTTAATCCACTCTTACATTATGATTTCCCATTGTATTTTATCTTCTTTTATAGCAATACATACTGTGTTACATATTCTAAGGCCATGCTATGAAGTACACATAAATTTGTAATAGCTGTCTTCCCTGTGGCTTGACTCTTATACCATGATATATTATTTTCATTCATGCTCTTGAGCTAAACTCTATTTGTAATCATTTTAATTTCTTGGTAATAAATTTTCACATCATGTTTATTCTGAGAGGGAATCTCACTCTGTCTCCAGGCTGGAGTACAGTGGCACGATCTCAGCTCACCACAACCTCTACCTCCTGGGTTCAAGCGATTCTCATGCCTTAGCCCCCCAAGTAGCTGGAATTACGGGTGTGTGCCACCACACCCAGCTAATTTTCATATTCTTATTAGAGAAGGGGTTTCACCATGCTGGCGAGGATGGTCGCGACCTACTGACCTCATGATCCACCCGTCTTGGCCTCCCAAAGTGTGGGGATTACAGGCATGAGCCACTGCACCCGGCCATCATGTTTATTCTTATACTTCCAAACTTCATGGGCTCTTACCTACTTTTCTTAGATTTAATAATTTAACTATGAGGTGCTTACATGTGGCTTTTATTACATTTATTTGAGTTTGTGTTGTAAAATGCTTTGAATTTGTGTATTTATGTCTATTGTTCATTTTTAAAACTTCGCAGCCACTATATCTTTACCTAATGGTTTGGCCCTGTCTTGCCTCTCTTTCAGAGATTCTAATTATATGTAAGTAAGTTATCTTACCATTTTCCATATGTCTCTCATGCTCTTCTCCTCCTTCCTTGTTTCCTCTTCCTCCTCTTCCTCCTTTCTTCAGTTGCTTGTACTCCAGCCAGGATAGTTTCTACAAAAGTTTCTTAATCCTTTCTTTAGTTGCTGCTCATTTGCTGTAAACCCAGATATTGAGTTATTGATATGTTATTTTTTTAATTCTAAAGTTCTTTTTGATTATTTTATAGGTTATGCTTTATAATTCAATTATCCTACTTGTCACTTATTTACTTGTATATGTTAATCAGAATTATAATGGTTTTTATATGTATTGCTTTCTTATATTTTTGAACCATTCTATGTAGTCATTAGTGATACGCAATACATTGCAACTGCAAATATTAAAGGATTCAAAAATATACAATTTGACATGCACATGTATCTGTGAAAATAATCCCATACTCAAGACAATCAGCATATTAATAATTCCTAAAAGTTTCTGAAGCCACCAGATCTGCTGTTACTATAGATTGGTTTGCATATTCTAAAAATTTTATAAAAATGGAATCGTGAATAGTGTACTGTTTTGTTTTTATTTTTGATTAATAGTTCATTGTATGAATATACTAAAATATGCTTATCCATTTACCATACGATGATCATTTGGGTTGCTTAGACATTTGCACACAAGTTTTGCTTTTGTGTTTATAATTAGCATTTGACTTCTTTCCTCTTGGGTAAATACCTAGGATAGAAATTGTTTAATCATATAGTAGATAATACAGTTTGGATATTTGTCCCCTCCAAATCTTATGGTGAAATATGGACCCCAACGTTAAAGGTGGGCCAAGGTGGGAGGTGTTTTGGTTATGGAGGCAGATCTCTCAATAAAAACAGCTTGCTATGATCACAGTGATGAGTGGCTTCTTCCTCTATTTGTTCACATGCAAGCTGTTTGTTTCGAACAGTGTGGCACCCTTCCCCCCCCCACCCCGCCCCTTTCTCACCCTTCCTTCCTCTTATCATGTGATCCCTGATCCTCTTCACCTTCCACCATGATCAAAAGTTTCCTGAAGCTCTCACCAGAAGCAGATACGGGCACCATGCCTATTTTACCATCTATAGGATTATAAGCCAAATAAACTTCCTTTCTTTGTAAATTACCCAGCCTCATGTATTTCTTTACAGCAACGAAAATGGACTAAGATAGTAGATAAATATATAACATTTTAAGAAGCTGCTAAATTATTTTTCAAAGTAATGGTGACATTCCTACTACATTCTCAACAACAGTATATGAGAGCTCCAGTTGTTCCATAGTCTTGCTCACTCTTTTTAATTTTAGCCAATCTAATAGCTATTTCCTTTTAATTTGGAATTGTCTAAGTACTAATAACTTTCAGCATCTTCTCATGTGTTTATTTGCCATGTACGTATCTTCTTCGGCAAAGCGCCTGTTCCAATATTTTCCCCATTTTCTATTTGAAAAACTATTAGAACTAAAATGAGTGAGTTTTGAAAGCTTATATAATACAAGATCAATATACAACATTCATTTTTATCTCTACATATTAGCAGTATGCAATCAAATTTGAAATTTTAAAATCATCACATATGATATCATCATAAAATACTCAATACTTAATGATAAATCTGAAAAAAATATGTGCAAGATTTGTACACTGAAGAATAAAAAGTTATTACAAAGTTAAAAAAACTAAATAAAAAGATATACCATGTTTATGATTTGAAAGACTCAATATTTTCAATGTATTGATTCCTCTCCAAATAGACATAGATTAATATAATCTCAAACAAATGCAAGCAAGCTTTTTTTTCCATAAATTAGCTGATTCTTCAAGATGGATTAAAGACTTAAATATTAGACCTAAAACCATAAATACCCTAGAAGGAAACCTAGGCAGTACTATTCAGGACATAGGCATGGGCAAGGACTTCATGTTTAAAACACCAAAAGCAATGGCAACAAAAGCCAAAATTGACACATGAGATCTAATTAAGCTAAAGAGCTTCTGCACAGCAAAACAAACTACCATCAGAGTGAACAGGCAACCTATAGAATGGGAGAAAATTTTTGCTATCTACTCATCTGACAAAGGGCTAATATCCAGAATCTACAATGAACTCAAATAAAGTTACAAGAAAAAAACAAACAACCTCATCAAAAAGTGGGCAAAGGATATGAACAGACACTTCTCAAAAGAAGACATTTGTGCAGCCAAAAGACACATGAAAAAATGCTCATCATCACTGGCCATCAGAGAAATGCAAATCAAAATCACAATGAGATACCATCTCACACCAGTTAGAATGGCGATCTTTAAAAGGTCAGGAAACAACAGGTGCTGGAGAGGATGTGGACAAATAGGAACACTTTTACACTGTTGGTGGGACTGTGAACTAGTTCAATCATTGTGGAAGTCAGTGTGGCGATTCCTCAGGGATCTAGAACTAGAAATACCATTTGACCCAGCCATCCCATTACTGGGTATATACCCAAAGGATTATAAATCATGCTGCTATAAAGACACATGCACACGTATGTTTATTGCGGCACTATTCACAATAGCAAAGACTTGGAACCAACCCAAATGTCCAACAATGATAGACTGGATTAAGAAAATGTGGCACATATACACCACGGAACACTATGCAGCCATAAAAAATGATGAGTTCATGTCCTTTGTAGGGACACGGATGAAGCTGGAAACCATCATTCTCAGCAAACTATCACAAGGACAAAAAACCAAACAGTGCATGTTCTCACTCATAGGTGGGAATTGAACAATGAGAACACATGGACACAGGAAGGGGAACATCACACACCGGGGCTTGTTGTGGGGTCGGGGGAGGGGGAAGGGATAGCATGACGAGATATAAGTAATGTTAAATGACAAGTTAATGGGTGCAGCACACCAACATGGCACATGTATACATATGTAACTAACCTGCAGGTTGTGCACATGTACCCTAAAACTTAAAGTATAATAAAAAAAATTAGCTGATTCTAAACTTCATGTAAAACTAAAAAGGGCTGAGAATATCTAGAATAACTTTGAAAAAGAGCAAATTGGGAAAACTATCACTAATTGATGTCAAGACGTATAAAGATACAATAGTTAATAGCATGCGTTTTTTATATAAGTCAATGGAACAGAATAGAGAGCACAGAAGAGATCTCCACATGTATGAACAACTGATTTTTCTCAGAGGCACAAAGACAATTAATGGAGAAAGAGTAGTTTTTTCCCAAGTGGTGCTCAAATATATGATGAGCTTTGATATATATCGCATATCATATACAAAAATTATGCAAAATAGATAATAGATTTAAAATTCATACCTAAAACTGTAAAATTTCTGAAAGTTACTATAGGAAAAAATTGTAATCTAGACTTAAGCAAGGATTTCTTAAATAATACATAAATAAAATCAATAAAAAATAAAATTGATAGAGCGTCATTCTTTTATTTTTTAAAAGATACTGTTATATGAATAAAGGATAAGCCATTGATAAGTAGAAAACACTTCCAAATCATGTCTCTAATAAAAGACCTCTATGTAAATATATAAAGCCCTTATCTTGCTATAATTCGACTATCTGGATCATCTGTAGGTTCCATCTCAGTGTCTATCTCTTGGTTTAAGGTCATCTGGTCTTACCTACTGGCATATTTGGCAATTTTCATGGAATTCAATATTGTATTTATAAACTTGCAGTAATTCTGTACTATATTCTCTTCCTTCAGATAAAATTCACTTTTGTTTGGCAGGTAGTTACAGTAGAAACAATCAACACAATGCTAATTAAGAAATGAAATTGTTTGAGGGAAGATTTAAGCATATTTTGACTGCTTTTTTAAAATTTTGATTTGTTCTCTTTCCTAGGGTGTGGACTTCATCACAGCTCAAACTCTGGAATGTTAATCAAGTCCCCTCATTCCTAGTTGGCCCTGAAACCTAATTACTTTTTTACTCTAGTGACATAAGACTATAAAAAGCCTTACTTATATTTTTAGCTTCGAATTTGCAAGTTGGCTATCAGTATTCACACGTTAAAAATCAACAAATGTCTCAAATGCAAAAGTGATAGAGGATTCTGGACTCACATAAATATGTTACTTTACCCTCTAAGATATTGATCCTCCAAATTCTGAATTGTTTGGCTCCTCAAATGATGATATCAAAGAGTTATTTTGTAAGATTAATTTTCTATAGCTTTTAGAGTAGTTGACAACAAGGATATTTGTCTGATAGAAGATACTCTGTCATTGATGGAAGTGGATTTATCTCTCCCAGGTAATTTAATAAAATAAAGTCATTAAATATAAGACAGAAAATGCCATATAGTTTTCTCCAAGGGTTCTGAGCCATTCATAGAGTTCATATCATCAATCTTTACCATAACCTTGTCAACACTGGTAACTCATTAACTGTCCAAAGGTCACCCAACAAACCCATGAGAGGTCCAGAAATAAAAGCTGAATGCTCAGCTTAATCCCCAGAGCCACATAGACTACTGATGCCTGGTATAAAAATTAATCTTGATTTAGGAAGTACTAAGTAATTCTATCAGTGAGCTATCTGTCATTTTCTCAGTCACATATCCTCTACAGAAAAAAGAAAAGGAGGAGATGAGATAATTGTGGTCTCAGATTTTCAGTAAGATTAGCGATGTGTTATTTTTAAAATATTAATTCTTATTTTTTTCTGTTTATGACAGTAAAATTCAAAGGGCAAAAAAAATCTGATTTCTGATTATGCTTACGAGAAACTTGGACAAAATGACAAACTGATCCTGTAGTTGGTGGATCCTGCATTAAGATGAGGTAGGAACCAGTACATGATTTCAACATTCCCCCAGAAGTAACCATTCAGTTATTTATTCAATAATTATTTATTCAATATAGACCATGCAAATGACATTATTTGTGCTAGTTGCATAGCAGTATACAAAACACAGATGTCCCCAAACACATAAAACATACATTCTTGTAGAGAAAAGAGATAATAAATCAATATATAATGTACATGTCAAGAAGTAATAAATATTATAAAAAAGTGGTGCCACTATAGAAAAGAGCAGGAATGCTATTTTAAACAGGGTGTCCAGGGAAGGCCTTTCTGAAAAAGTAACTTTTGAACAGAGGCTTTCATGAAATCAGGGTTAGAAAACAACCTTGTAAATTCTGTGGAAGTACATTCCAGGCAGATGGAAGAGAAAGTGGAAGGACTGTAAAACAGAAAAGGTTTTTGTATACTTGAGGAAGAACAAATAAGGCAACTATTGGAGTGCTGGGGGAAGATAAGGGGTTTGGAAATGAGATAGGATAGAGAAAAGATAGCAAAACCAGGTATGAACTAAGGACTTGAGTGAGAAGAACAAAAGTAGAGGAATAATAGAAACAGGGACACTAGTTAGGAAGCAGTAATCAAGGTGAGATAGTGGTGGTGTGGACTAAGATAGGGGGAGAGTTAGAGCTGAGAAGTGGAGGGACTTTGAGTAGACTTTGTTGATAGAAATGTCAGGATTTTCTGATGAATTAGATGTAGAAAAATGTGAGAAGCAGAGGTTTTTGGAAATGCAAATGGTAGAGTGGTGGTACACATTATAGAGAAAAATCACACTGGAAGAAAGGCAGATCTAGGGAGAAAATCACCAACATTTTTATCCCAGATCCTTCACTGGCTTCCAAGTCATTAATAAAAAATGCAACAGATAAAAATCCTTATCACCTATTAATTTGCTTCTCTATCTCGTACCCTTTCATCTCTAAGAACACGAGTAATCTGTGAGACCAATTATAGATTTAAAGGATATATTAAGTCATAAAAAAGTGGAAAAGGCAGGCCCTTGGATGAGGAAGCTAAGGATATCTTGAACCAAAGGACACATTTAAGCTCAATTGAAATCAAAGGTGCACTTTCCTGGTTGATGTGATGTATTGCAAGATGAATATTTCAGATAAATTGCTCAACCAGTGTTCAGTTTTATTCTGCAGGCTCAAGATCTGCTTTTGATTAAGTACAAATAATGTCTTCATTTTTATCCTCATATACTTTTCTTAACTTACTCACATCTCCAAAGCTTATAGGGCTAGGTGGTCAGAAAAGGAAACAGGATAAATGAAAGGATAGTATTTTATTTCCACCTCTTAATTCTTTTGAGACCTGACAGCAAATTTTAGAATGTCCCATATGTAGATGATCATGAAAATTTTCCTACTATGTATTTGTTATTCCCACTTATTGGATCTCCATCATCTGCCATTATCATGACATTGATCAGCCAGGGGCAAGCCAGAAAGAATGCCAAGTCTCTTAGGGGTTGTAACAAACCCCACAAGAGTCTATTCAATGGCAATATTTTCTCACTGTCCTTCTGTTTTCCTTGGCAACTCCATCAGGCAACATAACTCTGGAGAACTCCAAGAAAAAAAAGCTATTGAAAAAGTGTCCCCGTGACCATAGTTGCCATGTTGCATCTTCACATAATGCACTACATATTCATATCTCTGGTAGTTAATTCTGACAAAGCTCTCTAAATATATTGAAGCTGGTGTGCAGCTCATAAGCTAAAATATTAAAATTTTAATAGCCTTCCATGCATTCTCAAATATGAGCATGCTGTATACTTTGATTTCCTTTGTAAGAGTTACAGTCTCTGAGCAATAATCTGCCATCTAATTTACATTTTTATAATGTGTCATAGATAAGAAAATATTCTCCCTCAAGTCTATGTATCTTTCTCTTCTGAATTGTTTTTTGTACTGTGTAAGGAGCTACAGATTTTATAAAATAATTGGGGCCGAAGAGAAGAACCTATACTATTTCTACAAAATACCTAATTTTGCCACTAAAGAATTGTGAGGCATCCTGCCATGACAGAATTACCTATACTGGGTCAGAAATATTCCTTAACTTTGCTCATTTATTCTACTAACCTGATTAATATGGAAGTCTTTTTAAATGTATAAATTTACATTGGCCCCATTTTTCATTTATGCACTGTTCTTTTGAAAGTACTAAATATACCATAATAACATCTCTTAAAATGAAACCACCAATCTCCATTTGCCCTTAAAAATTGTCAGGCTTTTCCACTTCCCATTTTCACTAAATATTTGTAATACCTTTGAATAGTGCATCTGGAATATAAAGTACATCTCAAAACTGTACTATGGTTTAAATGTAAAAGTAAGGTGAAGTTGAAGTGATGATAATTCCAGTTAATATATAAATGTTTGAAGAATAGTTAAATAGTCCTAGAAAACAATGTGGTCATTAACAGAATAATGGGAGATAAATCTCAAAACACAGAATAAGACTAGATTATTTAAGGTCCTAATCAATGTTGATGAAACTGTCAAGTTACTTTACAAAGCACAAAGCCAGAAAGTCAGAAGAGATTAAGCTAATACAACATGTATTTCCTGGGGACAATAGGGGACTTCTGCCTCAGCAGGCCAGGTTTTGACCATTTACCTGCTTGGCAATGTATCTTTTCTCTATAAACAAGTATCTGTAAGAGTCAATAGGAAAACATGGTACAGCAAAAAGACAGAGAGAAATTTTGATATGTTCAATACCATTACATATATATTTAATTTGGGGAAGGTTATGAAAAAATATTCATGCTATGTAGTAATAGTCCTGTTAGAGATTTATGAGTGCCCTAAGTAAAAAAGAAAAAGTTACATCATCTTGTTCCTTGAAAGTGTATGTAGTATACAGTCATTCACTTAGACCTGGTGATAGGCCACTTATTTTCTCTGCTCCTAAGGAACAGGTAGTTACGAAGTCTGCTCAGACATTTGAAACATTTAAAAAAGAGACTTTACTAACAGTAGTATTAAGTGTGGACTATATCTAAGTATAATTTAATGACTAGGAAATCAAGAGATATGCTTGAAATCCTCTTCCAACTGATATCAACTTAGCACTTTTTCATCTTTCATTTATTGCTTTGTAAAATAAAATGTATTAATCAACGTAACGCCCCCGAAGGTAAAGGGAGCCTCTCCTGATAATTGACCAAAAATTTTTCTAAAGGTAGTGTGTCACTGCCGTTGTGATGTTTTGTTTTGTTTTACTATTACAAACAATCTTAATATTAGCCCACCTGAGAAAGATATCAGGATGGTATAAGAGCCAGAACTATGAATTTACACATATAGATAAATTAAGAAGTATAAATTCAAATTTGGAGACTATGCCAAAAACTTTACTCCCTGGGATTTTCTATCAAAGATTTCAGCTCTAGCAGAAATACTTATCATTTTAAAACTAATTACGGCAATAGTATGGAGAATACAGCTGCCAGTTCACCATAGGTTGATCATGTTCATTTTCTTTTATTTTCTAGAATCTAGGCATTGACAAGTTAGGTCTTATATAATAATTATATGTAGACATATTTTTATTACAAAATTCTCAGTGCTATGATCTGGTCACTGGTAAAATTTAGGTATTCTTAGTGTAGTCAATAACTTGATAATTGTATGAAATAGATAAAATGTAATAATCAGCACAAATAAGAACCCATGAAAGTACCAGGTAGACCATAAGAATATTGAGAATGAAATTATTGCATCATATTTAACACTTTGAGGGACATAGCTTGTGTAAAATCCAGATTCTTGTTGGTGGATACACAAGAAATGGGGGACTATCTTTGATAGAATACTCATGGTTTTGAGGCTTGACACTTAAAAAAACAAATTTCCACTTTACAACATGTACAGAAAGTCAACTCTTCACGCCTCCCTTCCTATATCTGAAGGGAATGTGAGTGGGACTAGCCTTCTTCCCATTTGGAATTTATCACCAAAGTTTCTGCCTTCCAATGGCTTCATCCCACATTAAAAGTTGCCCTGGTGGTCCATGTTCATTTAAATTCAAGTGCCCTTAAAGAAGGGCTCCTCCAAGAATTTGAAGATGTGGATGAGTAAGATTCAACCACGGCTGAAGCTCTGCTCTCTGATCATTCTCATGCAGGGCCTATTTGTCTTTTCATTTCTGAAATAGGAAGTGAAGATCAGAAGAAACACAAGCATGTTCTCCCAGGAAGACAGTTGGTACCCCCCCTCACTTCCAGTGTTTACAGGTCCCTTTCTCCAAACAATGGTGATTTATTCATCTTCTGCTGAAATAAGATGCATTTGCAGTGGCATAATTAATCTCTTGGATAATGAATGTTCTCCTCTTGTTTGATGGCATTGCTTCCTCTATTTGACAGTTTTACTGTTCACAAACATTTTAGGTGGTCTTCAATTTTATCAGTTTACCTTATTTTCCATTTTCTCTCTCTACTTCAGTTATGGGAAGTCATCATTCTAGATATTTCACTATATTGTTTCTCTACTGCCACCTATAAAATCCTCTCTTTCTTTGGAAGGAGTAGAGGATGAAGGTAATGTAAAGAAACTATGAAAGGTCTCATGCTGTTATGAATTATCTATCTGTACAAACTGAAGTTTTTATTCTTACTTTACAAAGTGTGAATATTAACCTTGCCAGAGACATTACATAGCTTGCTCAAGGAGTTATAAAAGAATGGGAAGGTGGCTGAGCCACTGTTTAAAGCTGAGTTTGATTCTTAAGTCCATGGTCTATTACATTCTCTTGTGATTTTGTGTTCTCTATGGACTCTAGAATATCATCTCACTAAAGGATGGCAACTGGGACAGAGAACAAAAGTAACAAGTTTTATCATGTCCCAGCTTTGAACAAGACTGGTTCTACACTTGACCATATTGGCCTACAAACTCTAATTTGAGAGTTAGCAAAGGCATCCTTGAGGTGTCTTTTCTTTCCTATACCTCCGCTTATTTAGACACAGACATAGGACTCCAATCCCCTATACGTGTGGTCTGTAATCCAGGCTGATAATATTGCATCTCCCTAGCCATGATGATTGGTCCCCAGTGGGCTCTTGAGCCAAGCCAAGGTAATTAGAATCCTACTCTAGGACATTTTTACTGCAATTGCAGGGAAATACCTCATTTAGATCATAGAATTCCAGCTGGCCACATTCCCAGTCTATGGCAAAAGTCTGTCAGCTTTGATGGCAATGTATAACATTTTAAAAACAATAAAGGTAGCATGAAGGAGAACATAGTTTCCAGTTCACCATGGGAATACAGCACAGATGAGGAAGCAGGAGAGAGGAAGCCAGGAAGAGAACAATAGAAGGATAGGCAGAAAGAGATAAAATGAGCTAACAGCTGTGATTTCCTGCATTTAGTTGCCCTGAAACTCCATGTCTGTCCTGTTTTTGTTATATGAGCCAAAAAACAAATTTTTTCCCCAAAAGTAGTTTAATTGGGTTTCTGGTATGCTATGTTTTTGCACCAAAGATTTCTAATATACGTAGCACTCCAAATTACTATATGCCATCTTCATCATTATACAATTCATCCATGTAACCGAAGACCACTCATACCCCTGAAACTACTTAAATAAAAAGCAAAGCAAAACAGAACAAAAACAAATAAACAAAAATATATGCCATGATAGGACTTATATTCTTATCACTAGTCTCCTCTCTGGTTATGGGACTGGAGGCTAAGGTGAAATATAAATATGTCTTGCATCACCTTTTAAAAGGGTTAAATATGAAAGGAACGGTGGCCTTTTAGCACCCTAAACAAAACACTTGTCTTAGCATATGGCAGCTAGGCAATGATACAAACTCTGCTGGCAATCGTCTATGTTACTTTGGGCATGTAACATCTGTGCTTCAGTTTTCCCATATATAAAATGAGGAGAATTGTCTTAACTATAGCAACTCTTCCAGCTGTACTATTCGATTACTCTAAAACATGGAAGCCTTCTCAGATTAGCTTCAGTCATTTAACCATGGTTCAGGAATGTTCTGAAACATGTGGCATGAGCAACAAAAGAAAGGCTAGAGAGACTGGACCAAGCCTTAGGTTGGTACCAGCCTCATGAGTACAGAGTCCAGTGTCCATGCTGCAGGGAGGATGGCACCGGGGACCACAGATAGAGTAGGGCTGGGAAGAGGAGATGGAGGAGCTCCTGGAGATGAGCTGTATGCTATGGATACTCTGTTGTGTGATATTGTCAGTTCTCTGGGGTTGTGGAGTGGAGGGTAACTATAAGGTTTGTTTTGTTCATAGGCTCTGGCTTGCTTATGTGAGGTCAATAATACTTTATAATTTTCATTGAAACTTATCTATGAAAGAATTGGTTTCCCCCAGTGACCACAAATTATATTTTCTCAAATGCAATACTATACCTGCATTAGTATAGTATTATTCTCCTGCAGGTATAGTATTATTCTCCTTTGTATAATAAATGCATGAAAATATATTCTTGTCCCCTTGGGCTATTCGTATTTTAAGAAAATACACACTTCAATGTGATATGGTTTCAACTATACTATTGTAGTAAATATTTTCATTCTCACAACAGCATACTCTAATTCAGGTACTTTGGACCATGATGACACACAGCTGAGTGGAGGGTTTTTGGCGCAGTGAAAGACAACGTTATTGACCTTTGGAGTCAGATAAATTTGATTCCCAGCTCTACCACCTATTATCTTATAAACTCAGGCCTGTTATCTTATAAACTAAGGTCTTAGTAACTCTACATCTATTTTCTCATATGTAGTATGTGGATTATAAGTCGCACCACATAGGGGTGCTTTGAGAATGAACTCAGATGACTGATACACAATAGGCGCTTATGTATGTTAATTTTCTTCCAAATAGTCAAACCTGGATTACTGCATAAGGCCTGTTACTGGGTTGTTTTTCTTGTTTTTATTAAGAAGATTCCATTTTTTAAATGTTTCCTTAATTCAGCTTAGAAAGATCTTGATTAAGTCATTTCTGTCTTCACTTAATTAGGTCAATCATTAAGTTGTTCTCCAGATTTTAGGAACAGTATTAACAACCAAGCATATGCAAGCTCCCAAATCAGACATTCAGATGGGTTCCTTTTGATTTACTTTTAATTGAAATACTCCCTAGTCTTCTAGGAAACTCAGAGATAAAAAGATTCAGGATGATTCTGCTTTTCTCTATATTGCTCAGATTCTAACCATTAGGATGCATTGAGATTGGATCTTGGCTCTTTAGGAAGGAAACAGATAATCACACCATGAAACCCTTACCTTGATGTAATAGAATGGAAAACGGGTGGAAGTTTAAAAAAGTTGGACTGATAACTCTTTAAAAGAGATAATTAGTGTACTTTCAAAACAATCTTTGAAGGATGTAGTAGTGTAATTTAACTTTACTATTAATCAGTTATTTTTTTCCCTTTTTAACAAAGCACAGAAACAGGGAGCAACTGTCATTATATGAAAGGAACATTTGAAGCTTGATAATTACAAATACTTATGATATCAAGGTCAATTAGTTCTGAATGAAATAGTCACAGCAATCATAGAACTTCTTATTTTAGCTGTGATATTACAAAATATTATATTTGTGTTTCTGTTTTCAGAACACTTTCATATTAATCCTTATATAACAATGAACCTTCAAAATGGGTGTTATTTTCCCCATCTTAAATGATAGAAACCAAGGCTTGACAGAGATTTGAATTCAGAGTAGAATCCTGGATACAAATCTGTTAGGGATTTGGGGGACTTTGGAAGAATGGCCATCTGAACATACTTTAGCTGCCCTTTGTTTCAGTTTGAACCCATCTGAGCTAACTAGTTATTTAGCACCTGGGGCTTGCAGAATAGATGCCCTGGTCACTTGCTCCATAGCAAGTAGGTCAGCTGCAAAGTCTTCACACAGCAGCTTGTGACAAATGCAGATTCCCAATGCAATCTATGAATCGGAACTTGCACTATAGCAAGATCATTCACTAGACTTGCTTGCATATTAAAGCTGTAGAAACTTGCCTTAGAAAGCAAAACTGAGGCCATAAGTATTGGAGAACCTGAGGACAGCATCATATGTCCCAGGATGAGGAATAGAAACTCGCTTATATTAAAAAGTGTTTGACCTTGGATATTCTTAAGATCTGTGGGAGCTTGGCTCCCAGGGCACTGAGGAGAAACTAAAAAAGCTAAAGTAATTCCTCTCTACCTCGAGTTTTAAGAGCTTGAAATAACATGGATGCAGAAGATGAACTCCTGGTATTTTTGACAGGGTATTCACATCCTGGCTGCTGCCATTCTGCTACCTCACAGAGGAAGAAAGCATGGTCCCTTCCACCATTTGTGGAATGGACTGTGCCTCTGCTTGCAATACTGCAATAGCTGGACAGGAGCCCCTGTAAGCAGCCAAAGAAAATGGTTTCCCTAGGACACTTTTTGGCCCTCCGCTTAAGGGAGCCCTGTAGCCAGACACACTCAAAACAAGCCTCAAATGAAATAGTGTGGTGTCCAGAAAGCACACTAGGTGTATTAGGAAAAAAATGGCATGATGGATAGAAAATATCATAAGAGCCTATTAGTGCTTTAAAAAACAAATCAGCATTACGTTATGCCTAAATGTAAAATATAAACATTTTGAACATATAGTATTAATAGCTCATGAATGGATTTTTACAGAACTTAGTGGTAAGAGCCAAAAATCTGACACCTCCCTCACTGTAAATTGGTAAGCTCCCCTTAATACTTTGTCTCATGCCCTAGTGATTTGATGGCAAAATTATCACTTTCAGTAATTGTCATTACTTTTGTAAATGAATCTCTGAATATTCCTATTGTAGAATTTATCATTTGTTTACAACACAATTATCTCAACTCCAAATATGTGTTGCTATCTAATGATATTATTCCACTTTGACATAGATCAGTTGGATTAAGGACATGATTCCAACTCGTGTGACATTTTCTTTAATTCTCTTATTCTTCCTCGTATCTGTTATTTTCTGGGTCTCCTATCCTTCCAGGATTAGAGCGGCATCCCAGTCTCCAAAGTGGGCCTAGAAAATGTACTTGATTTATCCCTATTTGATCTCCGCTAAAGATAAAAGCTGTTCATCATTGTATTTAAAACAAATCAGTGAACAATCCTGACCTAATATGTTCTCTTTTCCTTGAAACACATGCATTTTAACAGATTTTAGTGATTTAACCTAAATCCATTCTTGAGAATTCAACATCATTTAGGATTAGTGGAAGGAATGTTCGGGATCATTGGATTTTGTATTCCTTCTCCCATTATCCGATTATACGTGTGGGTGATTTCCCTTTGCAGGCATGGCCAACTCTGATAATTCAAGCTCTTTTTTTTTTTTTTTTTTCTTTTTTGAGACAGAGTCTCACTCTGTTGCCAGAGCTAGAGTGTAAGTGGCATAAACAAGGTTTACTGTAGTCTCAAACTCCTGGGCTCAAGCTATCCTCTCACCTCAGTCAGCAATTTGGTAGTTGAGACCACACGCATGTGCCACCACACCTGGCTAAGTTATAAAGGTTTTTTTTGTAGAGATGAGGCCTTACCATATTGCCCAAACTGGTCTTAAGCAATCCTTCCATCTTGGCCTCCCAAAGTGCTGGGATTACACGCATGAGCCACCACACCTAATCAATGCAAGCTCTTTTGACTTGCTATTTTATGTATAACCTAGATCCCACTAAGTGAGTTTGTCCTTAGTACTACTTGTTACTTTTTTTTTTTTGAGTCCACATTCTGTTCACATTGTATTAACAAAGTGGGCAAAATGCAAAAATGAGAAGCTTTATTATATTTATGTTGTTTTATAATACTTTACAAAGTTTTGTGATTTCGGCTAATAATGTGTTAATTTTAGAGACAATCACAGTTAAGTACAATTTCTGGAATTATATTGTCTAATCCAATATTTTTCAAAAATGGACAAAGAGTGCATCAATATTTTTATAAAAGAGAAAAACTAAGTTAACATTCTAAAGTTTGTATGAATATGCAAATCTCTCTCTCTTGCTAGTTATAATACCCATATTTCTCTGTATGTTGTTATTTTGGATAAGAACATCAAAATAAATTTTAATTTATGGTTTTTTTTCCTATCACTTTACTTCAATGGCTCCTGAAGCATGACTTGCTGTCTATAACTGCAAAGTTATTGGTATTAACTCTTTGTCCCTTAAATCCATGAAAAATCATAGAATTGAATCCATTTTCAATGCAATCTGTCTTCCTAAACATTTTTCTCTATGATATCCATGATAGTCCATCTTCCCATATTACACAGAAAGGGAGGAATTTTAGGAACTGTGAATGATGTCTCCTGAACGCCAATCACTTGGAGATAGAATTTTATCTCTGCAGATACCACTAGCCCAGTAAAATGAAGAAAGAGGCTCAATGCCTAATCATGATCTGACTCAATTCCTGCAACCTGTTTATGAAAGTAGAAAGAACAGCGAGAGAGTGTAAAACCACAAGAAGGTCAAAGTACAAAAGTAGAACTCAAATAAATTATACTGAGAAGTTTTATTCTGGGCACTATATGAATACTGGAATACTTTTTAATGTAACAAACATTTGGACTGCAGGAGAAATAAGAGTAAAAACTCTCCACAGAAAAAATGTTAGAATAAGTGCACTATTTTATCTTATACTTTTAAATCTGCTTTATATATATGCAAACTTCCTTCTCTCTGAGGGGGTAACTTCTAGAAAGATTCTTACAAGATTGTCAGGAATTCATGCAAAAAAATAGTAATTTAAGTATTCAAATCTGTTGAATGCCTGCAATCTCTGTAGTTGACAGTATTTATGAAAGGATAAGAACATTGCTAAATTTGTAGTTGTTTTAAAATTATTAGTATAGTTTTAATATAAACTTATACTTCTTTATTTACCCCTCTCTACCCTGGGTCCTTGAGAAGAAGCAAGCCAAATGAGAATAAAAATGCAATATGAATTTGTTACTGTGAAGCTGGATTAAAGAAGGCATTAGAGGATTTTACATTTCTCCCTGATCCTGGACCTCCAAATCCATTCCTCATGCATGTCCTGTATTTAACCCTCCAGATGCAGGACTGGAAGTGAGAGGATGCTGAGCTGCTGAAGACAATCCTACAGTAGTATGTCTGCTGTCTGGATGAAGAGGGGGCCATGTGCCTGGTACACCTGGCTACACACAGATTCAGGTATTACAACACTAGAAAAAAAATCTGTAAGAGGCTCCAGAAAATTTGCACTCAATGTTCTAAGTAAAATTATTTCAGCTGAAAGAGAGCCAAAGCCAGGATGTCCAGTTGTTAATTGGCATTTGTCCAAACTTGATCAAGGATCAAAATTACCTGGAGGCATAGCTAAAATACAGCTTACAGTCCTCTCCCTATAAATTTTGCCTCAGTAGATTTGGGTTGAGAGTTGGGAATTTTAAAATTTATACTTTTTCCCTAATGTTCCAGCTACTTCTTAAGTCCAGGTGAGTGTTTGAGTCATTGCCACATTGATAAGAGGGAAAGCCTTACCAGTGGCAATAGATTAGGACATCTATTCAGTTTCAATTTGTGCAAGATTGGCCAAAGGTCTTTATTTTATTAAATTATTATCTTCATTTTGCAAATGAAGAGACTGAGGCACGGAGAAATTAAATTCACTCAAGGTGTCATAACAAGGAATTAACATAATCAAAACTAAAATTCACTCTTGCCCACTTTATTCTGTCTCCCAGATGTGATTTTCATTATGCCATCAATACTTGTATTTATGAAATTGGAAAATAAGGATACTGTTTGAAATAATATTCTTTTTAGTTTGGCAATTTTTAATGTTTTTGCTTCATAAACACATCTAGATTCTAAAATTGAAAGCTTCCGTAATTTTAGAGTGAAAGTAATGCTAAGTATAAGAGGAAGGTCTCATCATGTATATTGGAAAGGTCTCATTGTGTATATTGAAAATCCTATCATCTGTTTCCATGCTGAGCTGAAACAGAGTGATTTTCTGGCTGGCAGGCCATTTATCACTTTCCACCGGCCATCAATAATTGATTAGGGAGATTGGATTCTGCACAATGCAAATCAGCTCATTTTTTTCAACACGGAATACAGTTTGTGTCAAAATGTGGTAACCCTTGAATCTCTCTGCTTACTCATCTTTGATACAATGCTGGAATTTTCACTTACTCTTTTTTTTATCAGAAGAGAAAAGAAGAATTGGGCAGAAAGGAAAATAACCAGCTGGTTCTGTTTATGCTGATGCCTCTAAATTATTTGCATCTCACAATCTTTGTTTTTCCTTCTTACCTAAAAACAAAGAGAAAAAGGATGCTTTAGGTCAAGAAGCCAACCCCAGGATCTTTTTAAGGCAAAGCCTCCAGGCCATCTCTTTCATTCTCAGGAATGGAGTGAAGATTTGCAGACTGATAACTTTTCCCTTAAGGAACTATCACTATCATTTCTATCCCCTAACTTTCTATTTCTGCAAAACCCTGGTTGGTTGCAGAGTAGTACACAGTCTCTCCAGTTTCTGCAGTAAAGCTAAGTACACAGGTTATTTGGTTTAAAGGTCCACTGATCATCATGGCAGAGAAACAGGAAATTAAAGTAATAAACATGAGCAAGCTACAATGATTATGGACTCTTAACAACTTCATTTTGTGATGCTTCAGGGTTTTTTGGTCCTGATTACTTTTTTAAAATAAAGGCAGGGAAGTGTTGTCTGCTGCTTTTTAGTTCTGCAGGCAGGGCTTAGCAAATTTCTCTCTTTTGGATCTGCATTGAGAGAAAGCCCTTCCCTTTTTTATGGTGCCTCTGGAACAAATGCCTGAAGATTCAATTAATACAGAACAATAGGGACCTCCCTTTAGTCTCAAAGCTGGAAGTCTGCTAATGTGAGGCATCCCCATCAGAAGCACAAGCTGGAGAAGGAATGAGAACAGCTAGCACTGAGAGTCTGCGATGTGCCTGACTAGTCAAAGTGTTTTAAATGGAATAACTGATTAATTCCTTATAGCTGCTCTAGGAGGCAGGCATCTTCTCCAAGTTAGAGATGATGCAAATGAAGTAAGAGAGGTTTTATACCTCAGTCATATCCAGTGCATGAACAAGGTTGGTGTGGACCTGGAGCCTGCACTCTCATACCACTGGGCATATCTCTATTGCTTCACTGACCACAAACTTCACCCACTCTAGTGGCCCTGCTCTAAATATTGGGAGATCATCTTTTGACATTTTTTTCCCACTTGGCCAATTTTCCTATGATTGTACTGAGAGAAGTCCTCAACATTTATCATAAATTAATATATTTTCTATTTCCTCCAAAGACTTAAGTTCCTCCAATATGTTTGTGTATGTGATGCTGAGAATTAGTTGGTATGGGGCTGGGGTTGATGGCTTCTGGAAAACAAGATTTACATGGATTTTTTTTTCTGTCCTCCTCCCTTACACCTCCCTCTAGCTTTTTCTCTTTTTATGACAAGAGTGCCTGGAAGGAAATAATGCAACCACTACCAGCACCAGTATCAGCCAGGTCAGATCAAGACCAGCTGCAGCATTTAGTAATATAATTTTCTTACAATCTCAGCAAAAATGATCTCTGTGTATAAATAATACAAAAAGAGAGGCTTAGCTTTTTTCAGAATATGCACCTTTAGAGAAATGAAAAAAAAACTTTTGAGCTGAAAGATTGCCTGAGGCTTTTAAAATAATTTCTTTCACTCACCTAGGAAGAAAAGAGACATTATATTATTACTTCCCTTTTTGTTCAGTTTTGATTTTACAATATGACCAAGAGCCTATGCTCCCCCTTGATGCCCTCCTGTAACTGCCAATAATGTTAAAAGGACACATAAGTACTCTTCAAAGAGGTCAGGATGCTTCCCACCCCTGAACAATTGTGCAGGTGTACATATCCCCAACCTTCCTAACTTCCAGCTCCTCTTTGTGTGTGTGTGAGTGTGTGTGTGAATTTATACACACAACATAACAAAGCTAATGACTGACACTGCACTTTGATGGAGTCAGACCTGTCTCCTGAGCTTTCTCTAGCAGAAACCTCAAGAAATGTCTGTTTCCTGTACTTTTAAGAAAAAGGGAAAACATTCAGTGTTACAAAAACAACTTTGGGCATCTGAAAATGTAAACAGCAAAGGACAAATTAACTATGGTTGTGTTTTTTCATTTATACAGTTGAAGTGTTTATAGAAACTCATATAAAATATAGAGTGAGATGAGTCTGAATTAACAACAGTTATGGGTTAACTTATGAGCAAAATATAAATATCAAATACATTACACCTATAAGAAACACAGTGATATTGGAAAAATTAAATTGGGATGTAGAGGAAGCTTGGGTATGGTATGATGGAAAAAATATGATTGAACACTCAATTAATGAATTTCCATTATCTACTGAAGCCAGTACTAAAAACTGAGGTAACAGAAATGAAAGGTACAACACTTTCCCTGAAAGTGTTCATGGACTTGTCAGAGAGGAAGACAAGAATATTAAAAATTGCAATGGTATATGATGAATGAGATACACATTATACATACATGTAACAGTCTCTAATTTAGGCCGAGAAGAAGAGGGAAAGATTTTTAAGAGAAGGAGACACTTGAGAAGATGTCTGCAAGAAAGAAGTGGACAAATACAAAGGGAAGAGGGCAGAGCATTCCAGGCAAAAGAAAAGCATCTGCGTAACTCCAGAGGCATTTCAGAGTAAAGTGCATTTGAAGAAAGCTTCAAATTACTGCCTGTAGTTAAACCTAGGCTTACTGTATGATTCAATTACACTCTTAAGCTATTTATCAAACTGATCTGAAAACATGCACGCAGACATTTATAACAGCTTTAGTCATAATTGCCAAAAACTAGAAGTAACTGAGATATCTTCTAATATTTCAATTGGTGAGTAGACTGTGGTCTATCCATACAATAGGATTACTATTCAGTGATAAAAAGAAACAAGCTATTAATTCACACAAAAATATGGATGAATGAAAGAAGACAGACCCGAAAGACCACATATTGTGTGACTCAATTCATATGACATTCTGTAAAAGGCAAGGTTACCAAAGATAGAAACATATCAGTGGTTGGTAAGGTTTGGGAAGGAGATAGCATTCAACTAGAGAAGTATAGAGGATTTTTAAGGTGATGAAAAAATACGCATGGTACTGCAGTAATAAGACAATATGCATCTTTCAAAACCAATAGAACTTTACGGCCTGAAGAATGAAATCTTAATATACGCAACAACAAAAAATCAGCCAAGAGTTAGGGAATCCCAGGATGAAATGCACTGTAACAAAAATGGTAAAAACCTAAATTTAACTTCACTGAAGAAGTTTCCAACAAAAGTAACTTTGGAGAGCAGTTATTTGACTGGAAACTGTAAGGCTAAAGAGACAATGAGGGATGTGCATATAAACACTATACTCTAGTAGGTAAAGTTATGTCTCTCAGGGATATGAGTTAAAAATGCTGAAACTGCTTTACAAATATACTGGGGTTGAACAAATAAGTAAATGGATTGTCGAAGGCAGGAGTGACATTTCTCTCTGCTGGAGATGGAAGTTACAGATAAGCAAGGGAAAAATGGCTAGGAATCATCAGGTATAGGATTAGACTCTGTGACATAGTACGGACTCATGCTTAGATATTTAATATCGATATAAAAGGATATGAAAATAATTTTATGTATATATGTGTCTATATGCAGATTAGTATACATACATATATTTCATAGCTGTCCACTGAGAGAGTTTAGAAGCAATGGAAGGCAGTAAGAGACTGTGCGTGGCCAAATCTGGATTTCTGATGCCATTCTTTAATAAAAGAAACCAGAGCTCTTCGGGTTTTAGGGAAGAGGTGGGAAGATACAAGAACCTCACAGAGCAACTTGCAGTGCCAGAAAGTTAAAGAAGTGCTCAGAAATAAAGGGTCAAAGAGACTAACCTGTAAGAGCTCCCAATAGCCAAAGCTGACACAATTTGAGAACCAAAATAATGTAGCACTGGGTTATAACCCAATACATTAAATTAATATCTATTAATGATTATATAAATAAATTGTTGATTGAATGAAATAAATGAATGGAGGTAGAAGACATAGCACACAGATGATTCCAAGTAATTTTTGTAGATTCTCCCTCTCCAAGATGTGGGGCTTAATATTCTCTTTCCTACCCTCATTGAGTGTGGGCTGCTCTTTCAGAAAACAGTGTTTAGAAAGGTAGGCAGATGGGGTTGCTTTGTAGTGAAGAGACCTAGAAACACTGTTTCCACCAGATGATTCAGTTTTACATCACTTTAAGCCACATTCATAATGTATTCCCTTGATATGATACAATGAGAATGACATTTGACCTCTGTGGTCTTCCTCCCCTAAATCCACAACCTAAGTCTAACCATGTGGAGGGGAATTCTAGAAAATAACCACTACTCAAAATTGTCAAGTTCATTAAAAATAAGAAAAGCCTGAGAAACTACCACTGTCCAGACGAGGCCGAGGAGACATGTCAACTGAATGGAACATGGTGTTCTAGATGGGATCCTGGAACAGGATCAAAGGACATTAGGTAAAAACTAGGAATTTCCAAATAAATTTGGACTTAGTTAACTTAGTTAATAGGAATATAATTGGAATTGTTTCCTTAGTTGTGATAATTGTTCTGTAATTTGTTAAAAATAGGGGCAAGTAGGTGAGAAGTATACAAAAACTGCACAATTTTCACAACATTCTGGAAGCCTAAAGTTAATCTAAAATTAAAAGTTAAAGAAATATTACTCATGATGACAGTGTGGGGTGAGTTACCCACACTTCTATGAAATAATGTGAAGAATGGGAAGATGGAGAAGGCAGTAGGCAGAGGTCCCTGTAGGGTCCTGAATGCTATCTGAGTGTGGAATTTATTATGGCTTTGCTAAAGATTGATGTGAGGGGGCAGATACTTGTAGGGACCTGTCACTCATGTAGTCATTCAAATGAGAATTCCTTATCCAAATCCACATTTGTAGAGTGAGATGAACAGAAGAGACATAACCTAGTGACCAAATGATTAAAGCAGAGAAGGGAAAGGAAACTTCTCAGAAGGATCCAAAATTTCTCTTTGATTGAGCAGAAAGTGGTGTTCTTCCTTGTAGTATAGTTTGAAGTCAGGTAGTGTGATGCTTCCAGCTTTGTTCTTTTGGCTTAGGATTGACTTGGCGATGCGGGCTCTTTTTTGGTTCCATATGAACTTTAAAGTAGTTTTTTCCAGTTCTGTGAAGAAAGGCATTGGTAGCTTGATGGGGATGGCATTGAATCTGTAAATTACCTTGGGCAGTATGGCCATTTTCACGATATTGATTCTTCCTACCCATGAGCATGGAATGTTCTTCCATTTCTTTGTATCCTCTTTTATTTCCTTGAGCAGTGGTTTGTAGTTCTCCTTGAAGAGGTCCTTCACATCCCTTGTAAGTTGGATTCCTAGGTATTTTATTCTCTTTGAAGCAATTGTGAATGGGAGTTCACTCATGATTTGGCTGTTTGTCTGTTGTTTGTGTATAAGAATGCTTGTGATTTTTGTACATTGATTTTGTATCCTGAGACTTTGCTGAAGTTGCTTATCAGCTTAAGGAGATTTTGGGCTGAGACAATGGGGTTTTCTAGATATACAATCATGTCATCTGCAAACAGGGACAATTTGACTTCCTCTTTTCCTAATTGAATACCCTTTATTTCCTTCTCCTGCCTAATTGCCCTGGCCAGAACTTCCAACACTATGTTGAATAGGAGTGGTGAGAGAGGGCATCCCTGTCTTGTGCCAGTTTTCAAAGGGAATGCTTCCAGTTTTTGCCCATTCAGTATGATATTTGCTGTGGGTTTGTCATAGATAGCTCTTATTATTTTGAAATACGTCCCATCAATACCTAATTTATTGAGAGTTTTTAGCATGAAGGGTTGTTGAATTTTGTCAAAGGCCTTTTCTGCATCTATTGAAATAATCATGTGGTTTTCGTCTTTGGCTCTGTTTGTATGCTGGATTACATTTATCGATTTGCGTATATTGAACCAGCCTTGCATCCCAGGGATGAAGCCCACTTGATCATGGTGGATAAGCTTTTTGATGTGCTGCTGGATTCGTTTTGCCAGTATTTTATTGAGGATTTTTGCATCAATGTTCATCAAGGATATTGGTCTAAAATTCTCTTTTTTGGTTGTGTCTCTGCCCGGCTTTGTTATCAGAATGATGCTGGCCTCATAAAATGAGTTAGGGAGGATTCCCTCTCTTTCTATTGATTGGAATAGTTTCAGAAGGAATGGTACCAGCTCTTCCTTGTACCTCTGGTAGAATTCGGCTGTGAATCTGTCTGGTCCTGGACTCTTTTTGGTTGGTAAGCTATTGATTATTGCCACAATTTCAGCTCCTGTTATTGGTCTATTCAGAGATTCAACTTTTTCCTGGTTTAGTCTTGGGAGAGTGTATGTGTTGAGGAATTTATCCATTTCTTCTAGATTTTCTAGTTTATTTGCATAGAGGTGTTTGTAGTATTCTCTGATGGTAGTTTGTATTTCTGTGGGATTGGTGGTGATATCCCCTTTATCATTTTTTATTGCATCTATTTGATTCTTCCCTCTTTTTTTCTTTATTAGTCTTGCTAGCGGTCTATATATTTTGTTGATCCTTTCAAAAAAAACCTGCTCCTGGATCCATTAATTTTTTGAAGGGTTTTTTGTGTCTCTATTTCCTTCAGTTCTGCTCTGATTTTAGTTATTTCTTGCCTTCTGCTAGCTTTTGAATGTGTTTGCTCTTGCTTTTCTAGTTCTTTTAACTGTGATGTTAGGGAGTCAATTTTGGATCTTTCCTGCTTTCTCTTGTGGGCATTTAGTGCTATAAATTTCCCTCTACACACTGCTTTGGATGCGTCCCAGAGATTCTGGTATGTTGTGTCTTTGTTCTCGTTGGTTTCAAAGAACATCTTTATTTCTGCCTTCATTTCGTTATGTACCCAGTAGTCATTCAGGAGCAGGCTACAATAACCAAAACAGCATGGTACTGGTACCAAAACAGAGATATAGAGCAATGGAACAGAACAGAGCCCTCAGAAATAACGCCGCATTTCTACAACTATCTGATCTTTGACAAACCTGAGAAAAACAAGCAATGGGGAAAGGATTCTCTATTTAATAAATGGTGCTGGGAAAACTGGCTAGCCATATGTAGAAAGCTGAAACTGGATCCCTTCCTTACACCTTATACAAAAATCAATTCAAGATGGATTAAAGACTTAAACGTTAGACCTAAAACCATAAAAATCCTAGAAGAAAACCTAGGCATTACCATTCAGGACATAGGCATGGGCAAGGACTTCATGTCTAAAACACCAAAAGCAATGGCAACAAAAGCCAAAATTGACAAATGGGATCTCATTAAACTAAAGAGCTTCTGCACAGCAAAAGAAACTACCATCAGAGTGAACAGGCAACCTACAAAATGGGAGAAAATTTTTGTAACCTACTCATCTGACAAAGGGCTAATATCCAGAATCTACAATGAACTCAAACACATTTACAAGAAAAAAACAAACAACCCCATCAAAAAGTGGGCAAAGGACATGAACAGACACTTCTCAAAAGAAGACATTTATGCAGCCAAAACACACAGGAAAAAATGCTCATCATCACTGGCCATCAGAGAAATGCAAATCAAAACCACAATGAGATACCATCTCACACCAGTTAGAATGGAAATCATTAAAAAGTCAGGAAACAACAGGTGCTGGAGAGGATGTGGAGAAATAGGAACACTTTTACACTGCTGGTGGGACTGTGAACTAGTTCAATCATTGTGGAAGTCAGTGTGGCGATTCCTCAGGGATCTAGAACTAGAAATACCATTTGACCCAGCCATCCCATTACTGGGTATATACCCAAAGGACTATAAATTATGCTGCTATAAAGACACATGCACACGTATGTTTATTGCAGCATTATTCACAATAGCAAAGACTTGGAACCAATCCAGATGTCCAACAATGATAGACTGGATTAAGAAAATGTGGCACATATACACCATGGAATACTATGCAGCCATAAAAAATGATGAGTTCATGTCCTTTGTAGGGACATGGATGAAATTGGAAATCATCATTCTCAGTAAACTATCACAAGAACAAAAAACCAAACACCGCATATTCTCACTCATAGGTGGGAATTGAACAATGAGATCACATGGACACAGGAAGGGGAACATCACACTCTGGGGACTGTTGTGGGTTGGGGGCAGGGGGGAGGGATAGCATTGGGAGATATTCCTAATGCTAGATGACAAGTTAGTGTGGTGCAGCGCACCAGCATGACACATGTATACATATGTAACTAACCTGCACAATGTGCACATGTACCGTAAAACTTAAAGTATAATAATAAAAGAAAAAAAACTTAAAAAAAAAAAAAAAAAGAAAGTGGTGTTCTTCCTGAGCCAGAGGCCACAGGGGAGCCAATATAAAAATTCGATTTCAAAACACCTTGTTAGAACTGGGGATGAGAAAGCTAAGAGAACATTTTCAGTTTTCAGAAGGCAACCAGAAGTAAAAACATGCTGTCTTTCATGCTTCTTGCCTATACATCTCCCTTCCATTCATGCACCCAGAGTCCATGTCTACCCAGTCTCTATCTCCTCTCTTTTGAAGTGTGCCCTCAGCTAGATATTAAGTTTGAAAATCTTGATAAATTATTTCTTGTTAAGGGAGGAAATGGTGCAATGTATTAATAGTATTGTTTGAAACATATTTAACTTTAAACAAATAAAATAGCCAGATAGGAATAAGGAAGAAGCTGGGAGTGAATGGGGGTGAAATCCCTAGGTTGGTGCTGAGCAGCAGGAGAGCTGTGTATTTCCTACCTGAGGCTGTGATGAAGACGTCTCCTTAGGACAGAAATTTCACTCTCAAAGTAGAAGTCTAAATGTGAAAGGACCCAACTGCTGCTCAGAAACAGGAAATTCAGTCAGCTAGAGTAGTAGAATGAGCAAAAGAAAAAGGTCTTAAATACGTCTGATGAAAGCCCTACTGGGGGAAAAAAGAAAGAAAACCTAAATGTAATTAGGTTTTAAAAAATATTTTGCATGCATTCATCTCACAAACATTTGTTGTGCACCCTGTAAATATGTCATGCTCCATTTTAGGATGTTTGGTATGACAGTGAGTTGGACAGATACAGTTCCTTCTGTGATAAGAGCTTAAATTCTAGTGGCATGACAGAGATAATATACAAGTAAATAATAATAATAAGTTCTGGTTTTGAAAGTTCTCTGAAGAAATTATCAGGGTGATTATCTGAGCTAAAACCCGACAGATAAGAACAAAGCAGCTATTCAAACAAAAGGGGCAAAAAGCATACGGTTGTTTCATTCAATACTTTGGCCAGAGACAGAATGACCTTATTTAAGCCTTATAACTTATATTATTACATGAAATGCCCCCAAAATGTAAGCATTGTGGCTACTTCCATTTTATGCATTTGGAAAATGGGAGTTAAACATTAAGTAACTTGCACACTACTTGCTATGGGCTGAAGTCCTAACCCCAATGCCTCAGAATGGGACTGCATTTGGAGACAGGATCTTTAAAGGGGTGATTAAGTTAAAATGAGTTCATTAAGATGGGCCCGAATCTAATCTGACTGGTCTCCTGATAAGAAGAGGGAATTTGAAGTACAGAGTCTAACCACAAAGAAGCATGAGGGATATGCATACATGGAGAGAAGACCAAGTGGGGACACAGTGAAAAAGTGGCCATCTGCAAGCCAAGAAGAGAGGCCTCAGGAGAAACTCACCCTGCCTAATCCTTGCTTTTGGACTTCCAGCCTCTACACCTGTGAGAAAATACATTTCAGTTTTTTAAGCCACCCAGTTCGTGTTGTTTTGTTACATGGCAGTCCTAGTAAACTGATATACTACTTAACATGGTGACATAGGAACTAGAATCAGGCATATTTAATCCCACTTACTATGATTAGAATTACTATCACTTATAGTACCTCCACAGGAGCTTTTTCTTTTTTGAGACGGAGTTTCACTCTTGTTGCCCAGGCTGGAGGGCAATGGCACAGTTTCGGCTCACTGCAACTTCCACCTCCCAGGTTCAAGCAATTCTCCTGCCTCAGCCTACCAAGTAGTTGGGATTACAGGCATGTGCCACCACGCCCAGCCAATTTTTGTATTTTTAGTAGATACAGAGTTTCACCATGTTGGACAGACTGGTCTCAAACTCCTCATCTCAAGTGATCCACCTGCCTCAGCCTCCCAATGTGCTGGGATTACAGGCGTGAGCCACTGCGCCTGGCCACAGGAGCCATTTTTAATTTTTTTTTTTTTTAAAGAAATCCCAAGGGGAATGCATGTTCTCTCAGGATCATTCCAAATACAATGTACAGCAGACACAGGGGAAGACATATTCAGGAAATAAAGCTATAATGGTGGAATGTCAGACACATCTGTATGACCCCATCTCTATAACAGGTCTGGTGGTAGTGGTGGGAGACTCAGTGTGAGTCAGGAACAAGTATATTAGTTGGGGTGAGGAGGTGAGCTCTGGAGTGGGATTTCTTGGAGTCAAATCCAGGTTCTCCTACTTACTAGCTGTATTATCATGGGGAATTTGTTTCTAAATTTCCTTAATTTCTCATCTGTAAACCAGCTCACAGGGTGGGCATGACATTTATGAACAGGTGTAAAACACAATCAGAATGATATCTGATTAACTGTAAACACTCAATACATATTATGTAATGGCATTTATGAAGCAACTACCCGTACCTATTCATGGAACCAGGGATGAGGATGGGGGTTGTTTTGTTTTGTTCACTTCTGTATCTTCAGGACCTAGTAGGTCATGAAGAAATAACTGCTGAAGTATTCCTATGTAAACTCCGTTGAGAGACCATTTAGAAAATATATTTTTTAAAATGGGGCCTAAAAATGAGGAGGGTCTGGGAAAGACAACAGGCGGTGGTTCAGTAGTCCCCACCCTCTTGTTACCATGGTATCTATTTTCCCTTGTTCTAAAATCCCACCTGGAGCCACACATTGTGGGGCTCTGGCTGTGGTTGCCGGTGGTGCCCTGGCTAAATAGAGAAGGCTGTAGGGAGAGTGATCTCAACATGTATCATAAACCTGTGTCCTAGGCAACAGACTTTTCTCCTGTGATCTGTCTTTCCTGGGAAATGAGAAAGAAACAAAGCAGTGAAGCCTGCAAAGGCCATAAGGAGGCTATCAACTTTTCTATATTATCCGTTCAGGCAAAGAACATTCTTTCCAGCAAAGACAGCTTCCGCAATTTCACAAAGCTTTACTATCACAGACTGAGCACCCTTTGGGGGTAGATATAACACTATCTCTTAGACCATGGAGCCATCTGAAGAGACAAAAAAAAAAAAAAATTCTTCAGACCAAAGGGACATGCTAGCTAATTGCTGAAACCCTGGGAGAGCCGGCGAGTGGATGCACTGTTTGAGGTCTGACAAGTGTTTCATAGGAGTTGGTGCTGCGGGTAAAGAAATCTTGATCACCTTGAGAAAGTGCTGCTGCCAAAAATGTTCTTGTTCTCTGATGATTAACAGGGTTATTATGTATCCCTTTTGTGATTACCCTTGAATATGTGACAAGGATCCTTTGTCATCAGTAGAAACACTGTTTTTACATTCCAGTGAGAACAGAAGAAAGGTTTAATTACCATCCATGGCATCTGCTTATTTGAGCTGTCTTATGAATAATCACATAGACCAATATATCCAGATGGCCAGGCTATCTTCCTTCCCCTGCCTTTCTCTTCCTTTCTCACAATGAAAGGCATTTTGCTTTATATCCAGAAAAGTCACTTATTGAAAGATGATTGAGGATGTGGATCCAAATGCCTGGTATAATATGGAAAAATAAATCCCAGTAACAGGAGAACATGCAATAGTCATGCAGATCAACTGGTGGACATTTGCCTTATGAATAATTAAGTAGCTTTTTGACTTGGGGCAAAATCATCCCTCTTCCACAAACTAAATACTTTGTTTACCCATGTGCACATTAGAGATAGGAGGGGGTCTGATTTAGTTATTGAAAAATTACATCTCATATAAAGTAATTTGCAGATAGCTCCTCCTTTGGGACTCAAATTACCAAAACAGGTACAAAAGTTTCAGTAATTTATATTAATACAGAAGAACGTATCTTGAGCTGTTGTCTAAATAGCACACAGGTCAAAACACGTTATTTGGTGCCCTTCTCAAAAGGAGAAGGGGTTTTCCATGATTAAATATGTTTAGTAGCCATTGCATACTATATATCTCCTACAGATTCACAATAAGACCCAGACATTTTAGAGTAATTGGTTTAAACCTTCTCAATATATGTCCATAAACTTTTTGACCTTGGAACAATTTTTATTGTTTTTATGAAAGTCCTGCCAAATGCTGGCTTTGTGGCGATCATTCAGGAAAAACTGCCTTGCTTACTTAAGCTTACTTCTATAGACCCCCAAGATGTACTTTTCTTTATCATGGCACATTTCAAACCTAATTATTTGGAAATATACTTTCCTCCTTTCGATCAACATTCTGCATTCCAAACCAGTCACAGGGCTGAGGGCATCAATGCATCTACCCAAATGGTCTAGGGGAATTAGCCTCCCTTCTAGCCAGAGAGGTATTTTATGGCTTCCAAAGTAATAAAGTGGCCTATTCTCAATGCAGCACCAATAACAGCAGTTGCTTCCCACATAGACTAAAGATTAAAAACAGGACTTGGGTGGATTTATAGGGCAGGTTATTACACCCTGAAAATAAGAAGGTGTTACTAATTCTCTTTCCCTTGATTTAATAGACTGACAGCTCCTGGGCTCCAGGGAGCTTCATGAGACAAATAACTCTCCAAATAAACCACCTGGGAGTGGGAGAGCTCAGAGGTGACTCTGCTGTCTCTGTGACCTATGACTGCTCACTAATGCACAAGAGCAGCAGCCAAAACACCAGCTATCCCTAAGCATGTGCAATAAACATCAGGTGTCAACCCCAGAGGATTTGTGGGTGAACACCTGGACTGCTCACCCCTCAGGCACACCCTCACAGTCATGACGCTCTCCTGGGACTATTTATAGTCACTGACAATCTGTCTCCATCCCAAGACCAGTCCATAATGTCAGAAATTACTTGCACCCTTAACCTCTCCCTTCTCACCTTTAGGGAGGACCACAAGTGATGTACAAATCTCAAGACATGAGAAATGACCTGAGTTCTACCCTTTGGAGTTGAAGGCCCTACTTCACCCTGTCTCCCTCTATTGTGTCAGCATTGAAACTCCAGTTTAGATTTTAGGGTTCCAATTGCCACTTGTCCAAGAGAGGAGTTAAGATGTATCATCTGAGTAGGAAACTGCCTGCATGATACATGTTGAAAAAATTCTGAAGGGGCCTCTGCTGCCCAAATAATGACATTATGCCCCTGAGCAACCTAAAATATCTCAATTGGATATTAACCCTAAAGACATCAGATTAAGGCAGTAACAGACTTTTCTGAAATAACTTCTAGAAGATATTCTCATAATAGAGTAATTCTTGGGTATCTGGTAATGGTTATGGTTGTTACAACCTAGTACTTGATCTCTAGAGTTACAGAAAATACAGAGCATTATATTGATCAAGTTCAAGTTTCCAAATGGATTCTTGGGGAAAACATACATTGTGCTGTTAAAACTAGCTCCTCCTTGGGAGGTAACTATTGCATCCTCTTCATCCTGTCCTGGGGTCATGATCATGCAGTAATGTAGAAATCAGGGCATTTTATCTATCCAGATGTATTTGAGAGGCAGGAGAGTGTAGGGTAGTAGTTAGGAAAAGACGACAGGGAGACTACCTGAACTTAATTCTGATTCTCACACTTACAAAAACGAGAATCAGTTAGGTGCTCAACCTTTCTATGCCTCAGTTCCCTCATCTGTTACATGCGTTAAAATTAAAAAAAAAAATTGTTAAGAACAATATTACATCCTATTTTATGTTTTCTAGTAGAACTTGGTAAACTACTATAAAGTGCATGGAACAGCGTCTAAAATATACTAAACCATCAATAAAGGCTAATTTCCTGGGATTTAGGCCTAATTTAACTCTTTTTTCCTCTTTTACTTTTAAGTTCTGGGGTACAAGTGCAGGATGTGCAGCTTTGGTACACAGGCAAATGTGGGCCATGGGGGTTTGCTGCAGATGTCAACCCATCATCTAGGTATTAAGCCCAGCATCCATTAGCTATTCTTCCTCACGGTCTTCCTCCCGCCACCTCCCAACAGGCCCCAGTGTGTGTTGTTCCCCCAATGTATCCATGTGTTCTCATTGTTCAGCTCCCACTTATAAGTGAGAACATGTGATGTTTGTTTTTCTGTTCCTGCATTAGGTTGCTGAGGAAAATGGCTTCCAGCTCCATCCATGTCACTGCAAAAGTCATGATCTCATTCTTTTTTTATGTCTGCATAGTATTCCATGGTGTTTATGTACCACATTTACTTTATCCCATCTATCATTGATGGGCACTTGGGTTGATTCCATGTTTTTGCTATTGTGAACATGCTGCAATGAACATATGCGTGATTACGAGGTTTAAACTAAAGAGCTTCTGCACAGCAAATGAAACAATCATCAGAGCAAACAGATAACCTATAGAATGGGAGAAAATTTTTGTAATCTATCCATCTGACAAAGATCTAATATCCAGAGTCTATGAGGAATGCAAACAAATTTACCAGAAAAAAACAACCCATTAAAAACTGAGCAAAGGACATGAACAAACACTTCTCAAAAGAAGACATTCATGCGGCCAACAAACGTATGAAAAGAAAGCTAGACTTTACTGATCATTAGAAAAATGTAAATCAAAACCACAATGAGATGCCACCTCATGACAGTCATTATGATGATTATTAAAAAGCCTAATTTAACTCTTTGAAAGTCCTGTTGAAGGAGGTATCATGATGTCCCAGCTATAAAGATTTAGAAACTCAGGCACATTGTCACTGTTTCAAGGTCACACAGCCAAATAGTAGAGCTAAGCTTCAAATCTATTTCCTGTAACTCTGAAAACTCCTGCTTTTATCCACCATCCTGAACTGTATCCTTTCAAATCCTACTGCACTTGATGGCTGCAGTATCTTATATTTCTAATTCTCCTCTAATTTTTCAGCAACTTCATACATTAATTTATGGTTATACATATTCTACAAACCTTATGTACTTGGTGATACTGTATTCTTAATTAGAGGAGTGAGTTAGGATCTAAGAAGTTTGGCTGTGCCTATCAAAGATTCTATCATGGCAAATGCCAGATTCCTTCCTTCTTTCTCACCTACCTAAGGTCACATGACAATGCTTTTTTCAGATCTTTGCTGGGTGACAGCTTCTGTGCTTTGAAATCCATTGCTGCATTTGCACCAAGGATGTTTGCTCTTCCTGTTCCTAAGACACACAGGACTCTTGATGGTTTCGGCTCAAGAACGTCCCAGTGGCCTTGGCCAACCTTCATCAGAACTGCACGGCTCTCCCAGCACCCTTCCCATTTTCTTTCACCAGCATTTTTCTTCTAATTCATTTCTTGACTATTTAATTCCATTTCGGTATCTGCTTTTTTGGCAACCTGGATGAACACATTGTTCAATTCTATAATAAATTGCAAGGCATCTTTCATTCTACTTTAATTCTCATCTCAGTATTCCAGATGTCCATTAGTCTTTCAAGATAGCTCTGTGAAAACTATCTTGTCCTCTGGAGATAATTATCACATCCTCTTCATTCTCCCAGTCATGATCATGCAGTAATAGAGAAATCATGGCATTTTATCTGCCAGGATATATTTAAGAGGGCCCTCCACTGCCCAAACTAAAAATCAATTGTATATACACTTTAGATGTCAATAAAACCATGTGGCATTGAAGTAACTGTTTTCTAAAGAAAGGAAGAAAATTGAGGAAGGGAAGAAAAGACATATCATTTTTCAGTATCTACTATGTGCCAGGCATAGTGTTCTAATAGGTCATCTTTATTTCAGTTGCAAACTAATCTTATGATTCAGATTTACATATGAGGGCCAAAAAGGTGGTTAAGCATAACATGATAAACCTAAGGATCACAGACAGAGGTTGAATAACCCAAATTTCAATTCTTGCTACTCAAGTTTTGTGCTCTTTTTTGTACATCATAAAGACTCTCAGAAAGACAGTAATATTCACTGCATTTTAGAGATATTTTCAAGATATATATAAACATATTTATTTGAATTCACACACACACTGAGACACACCTATATGTGCATACATCGAAACCGACCTGTACAGGCACATACAAACACACAGACATATAAAGTAAAATATATACATAAGCATATGCATATATGTACATAAATACCTAGTAGATACAGACGTGGCTATAAAACACACATACAGATTCTGCATGATTTTGTGGCATACAGAACTTAATTTATTCAAAACCATAACACATTATCATCAGGTGTTTTTGTTACAATGAAATTATCTGTTTCTCCTACATAAAGATTTTAACATGTGGATGAATGAGGATGTCAACGAAGACAAAGCATCAATAATGCCTAGTAGGATTCTGATCTATATTTGAGCTCCATTTAATTCTCCTAGTGTCCTTAGATATATGAGTTAAGAGTGGATCAGTTGCCTGTAGATAGCACAGGAAACCAATAGCTTATCACAGAAAATCGACATTCAACTTTTGAGTGTTGTCAAACCTGTTCTGGTCTCTGATAATGCAAGTAGGCTTATTAGCAGTAAGCAGATGGGATGACCAATAATTTTAGAAGGGAAAATCAAAAGATATTTGTTGTCATAAATGTCTCCATTTGTGAAATTCCCTATGCACAATTATAACGAAGGTAGAACTGGTTCTAATAACAATAGCTTGCACTAATAAGGGTCCACTATATGCCTGAAATAGTACTGAGTGCTTTGCATATGTTATTTTTTATTTCATGATAATATGTCCAAAGTTGCATTACTAATAAGTAGTTGATCTCAAGTCTGTCTGTCCAAAAGCCCATATAGGTCACAAACTTGTTTCTGAGGCACTGCCACCTCTTACTGTTTTGTTTTCAACAACCCACTTTTGACATCATCTCCAGTTTATCTTAAGTATCATTGGTGACTCCCCACCAGCCCAAAAACATACATGTGCACACACATACATACAATCAGTCTCATTATTTTTGTGTTAGTCTTAACATGCATGAATGTCCCAAATTTCCAAGAGGATCACGCATCTTCCTCTATAAATAAATAACCAGACTCATTTCACCTTCTATTTCCTACAAGGCAGCACCCACCACACAATAATGGCAACAGACCAGCTGGAGGCTGCTTTGGTTGATGCCAGCTCCCTGGAAAAGTAACTCGCAGGCTATGTGTGAGTGCCCTCCATTGCTGAGTGAGCTCCCCTTCCCAGCATTCTTGGAAATCTGCCAAAATTCAGTATTTCCACTAGGGATCTCCAGCTGTGAGTCTGATCAAGCTATTGGAACTTAGATTAAAACATTAGTTGCATCCAGGTAAGATATGTTTGAAATAACAAAAATGCCAAACTATTTATTTTCACAATCAACTGTGAAATGAATGTCCCAAATTTCCAAGACGATCATCCATCTTTCTCTATGAATAAATAACCAGACTCATTGCGCCTTCTGTTTCCTACAAGGCAGCACCCATCACACAATAATGGCAACAGACCAGCTGGTGGCTGCCTTGATTGATGCCAGCTCCCTGGAAAAGTAACTCACAGGCTATGTGAGAGTGCCCTCCGTCGCCGAGTGAGCTCCCCTTCCCCAGTCCTATTTATTTTCACAGTGAACTGAAAATAAATCATGGGAGGTAGACCCATCTTTGAATTGACAAGTTGATGACTAAAGGTCGTGACCCCTATGTAAAACTAAAGAGGAAAGTGTGAGGTGTGGCTAGTATTCTGTACATAGGGGCAGCAGATACAGATTTGGAGTCTTTTTAGGAAGAGGATGTAAGACAGGAAAGAAAGGAGAAGGAAATTATTATTAACTGAGCACCTACTATTTAACCAGATTTCATGCCTAATTTGAGTTCATCTTTACAATATTTCATCCACTCATTCATTCATTCATTCATCAACTGTCTTCTTGGTGCTATAACAAACACTATTCTAGGTACTGGATATTTAATTGAGAAAAGAGACAGAAAAGTTCTCTGTCTCATGGTAGCTTATATTCAGGGAGGCAGGGAGGAAGAAAAAAATAAATAAACAAACAAGGTGATTCTCAAGAGCAAGAAGTTTTATAAAAAAATACAGTAGAGTATCATGTGAGAGTGGAGTTGTAAGAGGAGTTTCTTTTTATCCCATGGTTGGGGCAGGCAATTCTGAGGAGAGGTTGCTTTAGTGTATATTTGAGGAATGAGAAGCTGGCAGCCCCCATGTGACATTCTGGGGGAATAATGATCCCAGTAGAAGGATCAGCACAGGAAAAGATGCTGGCTGTGGAAATCATAGAAGACTACTGAAGAAGAGCCCTGGGATGAAGGAGAAATTTCATTGGCTTAAGGAGGACATTCATTGGCAAAATAAATTGTATTCTAATCTAAAGATGATGGAAATCCATTGGAAGTTTTCACAAATAGAGAGTGGTGAAATTTGACTAGGATATATTAAAATCATTTCAGCAATTATATGGGAATGGATTGTAGGAGACTAGCCTATTTATACATAATGAGATGTGCATAGAAGCCAAGTGGCATTTCAAAAGTCACGCAGATTTTAAAAAGTAGATGTGGGATTTAAATCTAGGAATGTCCTGGCTCTATAAGCAAAGGAGATATTATCTTGTTTGAGGCTGTTTCCAGTGCACCAAATTGCAACCTTGAACTATCAGTTCAATGTGATGAGCTGGTTTCTTTGCCTATTGAAGGCATTGGTCAAAGTTGATGAAAGTTTTTTGGTTTTGTTTATTTGGTGGAGGGCATTGGGTACTATGCAACTGCTGTCAACACCCTCAACTTACTGCAAGACATTTCTTTTCAATGCCGTTTAGCTACTAATACATGTTAGATCCCACTATTAGATTCCAGTGTTAGATTTTGCACACAACCAATCTCTCCTCTTTTATCTTAACACTTTTATTGTATAGCTGAGATATGGGAATGAGATTAGGCATGTAGATCTGGTCATGCACATGATCTGAAAAAATTGGATTTTTGTGAGTTATCTCTAGGTGAAAGTATTTTTAATCTTTTGAAGAGATTGTATGATAATGGAAATTTGTAAATAAGTAGCATAGAGCTACTTTTTGTCTTAACAGATTAGCTTATAGCAAACCAGTCTTCTACCAACAAAAAGGATAAATGCTAGATAACATGCAAAGCACATCTGTTGGAAAGCATCATAGAGCTACCAAGAGAGCTGGAGCTTGAGAGACCAGTATCCCAGAGGAAAAGCACAGAAATGTGATCCAAACTGTCAGAGTCAGTCTTTCCTTCCAGGCATTTGAAGAAACAGCATCAATCCAAACTCACTTCTCTAGCGAAGAAAAAAAGAGGAAACATTTTTCAACTCATTTTCTAAGTCCAAATAATCTTAATATCAGGACCTCACCAGGTTATTACAAGGAAAAATTTTCAAAACAATTTATCTAGTGAACATACAAATAAAAGCACTAAACAAAATATTATAAAATCATACCAGTAATGAATAAAAAAGAATACAACACATACAACAATAAAACATATAAAAACTCTTGTAGCTAAATTGTATTACTAGAAAGTGAGTTTAAACTTGAAAATTAATTCCATTTTCTTCATTGTCCCTAAATAAATGAGAAAAAATGTGATTTTTCAGTAAAAGAGAAAAGTGATACCTCAGTTCATGCCATTAACAAAATCAATTATAAATGACGTGCAAGTTTAAATGTCAATGATAATATAATAGAAGTTCTAGAAGATAGTATAAGATGATGTTTTCATGATCGTGGAGCAGATCCACAATAAGCAATAATAATGAAGAAAATAATGTTAAATTAGATTATTTACCATTAAGAACCTTTCTTAGTCAGAAAATAGTATCAAGAGAATGGAAAGGCAAGGCAAGCTATAGTGCAGAGGATGACATGGGGACCACATATTCTTGACAAAGACCTTCGCTCCATAATAAATAATGAGCTCTTACAGATCATAAGAAAAGGCAATATGGAACATCCAAATGAAATACGAACAAAAGACTGGAACAGACGCTTCACAAAGGAGGTTACCGAATGGCTAATCAGCATATTAAAATGTGAGCAAACTCATTAGTCACCAGGACTAACAAGTAAGAGCCACAAAAAGATATCACCACATAATCCTTCCAATGGTAAAGTGACAAACAATATGTGTTAGGTCATTCTTGCATTGCTATTAAAAATACCTGAGTTTTTTATAAAGGTAAAGAAGAGGTTTAATTGGCTCATGGGTCTGCAGGCTGTAAAAGCATGGGACTCACATTGCTCAGCCTCTGGGGAGCCCTTGGGAAGCTTACGATCATGGCAGAAGATGAAGAGGAGCAGGCATGTCACATGGAACAAGAGAAAAAGAGGAGGTGGGAGGTGCCACACACTTTTAAATGACCAGATCGCATGAGAACTCACTCACCATCAAGAAGTCAGCACCAAGCTACGAGGGATCTGCCCCCTTAATCCAAACACCTCCCATCAGACCCCACCTCCAGCACTGGAGATTACAATTCAACGTGAGATTTCGGTGATGACACATATCCAAACCATATCACAATAGATAAGTATTGGCAAGAATTTGAAGCAGAAAAAGCTCTCATCCTTTGCTGTATGAGGTATACATTAGTTAGTTACTTTGGAACCTGATGACAGTATCAATTAATGCAGAACACGTGTACAACATAGGACTCAGCATGGCCATTCTTAAGGATGCACCTAGTTGAAATGTGTACATATGTGTAACCAAGGATACATACAATGATGTTACAGTGGCACTATTGTATTAGCTCCAAATTGCTGCAACTCCAATTTCAACAAAAGTAGAATGGGTATAAAATGGTGCTATATTCATACAATGGAGAATTACACAGGAATGATAGTGAATTAACTGCTACCCAATGACAACATGGGCAAATACCAAGCTCAATATTACTGAATGAAGAAAGTCAGACCCAAACAATTACATACAGCAAAAATTCATTAGTGAAAAGAGAATTCGGAGAAGTGTTTTCTTTGGAGACAAGTAGTGACTGGAAGGAGCCGTGAGGAGGGTTTCGGCAGAGTTACTAATACTCTTTCCTGCTCCTTGTGGTCCTTATATCTGTGTATTCCTTTAATAAAAACCCAACAAGCTGTTCACTAACGATTAGTGTGCATGTTGCAAATTTGCTGTGGATTAGCTGCAACTAGCTTTGATGTTCTCTTTAATCAGGGAACAAGGCTGAAGGAGGAGCTCCTCTGCCCATCTTGTAGCAGAGGAAAAGAGAACAACAGAAGCAGATAATGCATCTTGAGGCTGCTGCTCAAGAGAGAAACAAGCCACATCCACTTACAGGTCAGACCAAAGCAAGTTACATGGCCAACCCTAATATCAATGGGGCAGCAAGAATAATTGTTCCACTGGGATGGGACTATGCTGAACAAGAAGAAGTATTTTGAACAAATACTATAATTTTCCTTCCATAATTCTCCTTTTGGTAGAGTAACTTCACATACTTATATAGCAAACAGTTTGTTTCTTGATAAATTTAAAGCTTTCAATTGTAACAAAGTAAAAAATATTTTTAAGAATTTCCTAAAATTTTCAAAGAATAATATGTAATTGATTCCAAATAAAAGTACTTGTAAGTCTGCTCAGTAAGATTTTTCTTCAACAAGGAACTTCTAAAAACTTTACAAAAGCCAAAACAATTAATGTCTCTCATCTATCTACAAAAGCTGAGCTACTAATCATACTAAATTACAACTTTGGAGCTATTTTAGAATCTATTCTTATTCTAACCCTGAAGGTGTTATTTGGAAAAGTTATTTGGAAAAAAAAAAAGAAATTTTTATTGGGTCATTAAACCATTTCCTGCTAAAAAAGAAACAAGATTCTGACGGTACATGTCCATTTTAAATGCAAATGGTTCAGATTATATTATTTACAGAAACATCCTTACAAATCATGTGTATTTAAAAAACAATTTTAATATTTTTCATAAATGAATAAGATTAACTTTTTTATCCAGTGAATATAATTAAAACTCCTTTGCATTTTTGCTATGAGAAGACAGTTCTTTGAAATTGTGTGTGTGTGAATTTGTCTGCCAGAGTGTGAGGGCTGGAAGTGCTAATGCTCATAGGAGACCTGCTCTGTGTCAGGCAGCCTGGTAGGCTCTCCACACACTTTCTCACTCTTCTCATAATTAGTAGAGCTAGAGTTTCCTTTCGCATAGGTAACACTATTGGCATCACCTCAAATCCCTCCAACAGTCCTACCATGTAGTTACCATTATTCTTGTATTATAGTTAAAAGCAAAGGCCCAAAGTAAATAACTTACCCAAGTCCACACAGCTATGGACCCAAAGCCCACACTCTTTCTGACAAATATTCCTTCTTTCATCCATTCTTTACTAATATTAGGAAATTCCAAAGTATCATGTCAGTCGCAATAAATTGTAACACTCCAAACAAATTGTATTACTTCATCTATATTAATTGGCATTTCAGTTTTAATTAGAGCATACCTTGCTTTATCTGTATTTCTTTCTGGACAATGAAAGGAAACTTGTAAGTAAACAGTTATGGAAGCAGTTCATTGGTACTTTATGACTTATATATAACTTTTGTAGTTTTATTGATATGCAAAACTTCTTCATCGACCCTTTCCAAAGCTTACAAATTAAATGTTAGGGTAATCACAACGGTGACAACAATGCAGGTGCTGATGTCTGTGCGTGCGTGTGTGTGTGTGTGTGTGTGTACATGCTCTGTATGTGTGGACAGCTACAGATGAATTTTGGATAAAGACTTTGGCATGAACAGTTAGGAGGACCAGCAGAAAACTGGCTAGCATATTAACGCATTTCTTCAAAAGCATAATAACATTTGTTATTTATTTACTGTAATTTGAAGCAGAAGTAGAATGGAGGGATGGAGTTAGAACAGCCCAGAGATTCATTTAATTGCACCTGAATTAGCAGAGTTTAAAAAGTAAAAGATATGCCATAAGCATTTGCTTCTGACTTGATGACCTGGCCTGTGTTCTTTAATGAATGATTATTGAAAACTCAGTTTTAATATGCTTTCTGTTAACATACAGGTCACATTTGGCAGTTTACTTTAAATGTAAAAAGGCTTCTAAATTAACCTGTCTTGGGGAGGCCTTGTGATTCATGGTGGCATCCTCTTCTGCATAAAGAATCATAGGCCGGGCGCAGTGGCTCATGCCTGTAATCCCAACACTTTTTGAGGCCAAGGTGGGCGGATCACCTGAGGTCAGGGGTGTGAGACCAGCCTGACCAACATGGAGAAACCCCATCTCTCCTAAAAACACAACATTAACAGAGCATGGCGGTACATGCCTATAATCCTAGCTACTCGGGAGGCTGAAGCAGGAGAATTGTTTGAACCCAGGATGCAAAGGTTGCAGTGAGCTCAGATCACACCATTGCACTCCAACCAGGGCAACAACAGTGAAACTTCGTCTCAAAAAAAAAAAAAAAAAAAGAATCATGAGTTGCTGAAATTATTTATGCACTTATTAATTCATAACCTAATGACACTGAAAAAGATACTGATTTATTTCTGAATCATGATGTTTATGATGGTTTTGCATTGCAGGCATTTTAGCCTGTATGTTGCCAATGATTGCAACTTCTATATTGTACCTTCCAAATAAAAACGACAACTCTGGCGTGACAACCACCCACCCTCCGACCCTTTCTCCTAAACTTTTCTATAAAAGTCTTTCAACTTGTACCAGACTCCAGCACACTCCCAAACTTTCTTGCTGTTTGTTCTCTGGTCAATCCTCCTACTTGGCTTCTAATAAACTTTTATCATATTATTTCTGCCTCAACACACTCAATTTCTGCAGATATTTCAAATGATTTCTAGTATGTTGTCAGAAAGAAGAAGGAAGAAGATGAACAGGGAGAGGAGGAATAGGAGGAGGGGAAGGAGGGAGAGGAGGGGATGGAGGGGAACAAGGAGGAGGAGGAGGAGGAAAGTGAACTGGTAAGAAATGATTATTTACAAGCAAAATTCCAAGAGTGGTTGGCTTATAACTTATTTAAATATTTGTATTTGATCTCTACCATTGCATATGCCATTCTACTCAGAATGAGGAGAATGTGTAGAATGAGTTCTACACAGACTCACTAGCATATTGCTGCTCTTTTATTATTCTAAGAAATTGTACAGTATCTATGATTATGATTCCAGTCTTTCTATTCAACCTGAGAACAATATAAAAGTTCAGAGACAAGGGATCAAACATGTCTTTCAGTTATTTATTTTTGCAGTGGGAGGACACAGAACTTAGATGTCTGGATAGCAATTTAAAATATGTTGATGTTGCACAATAGTCAACCTTCACTCACAAGTAAATGTAAGTATTTAACCAGGATAATGGCTTTTGCTTTCTCTGAAGAGCCTCATTTTTCAAATCGGTCTTCTCAGTTCAATTCAGGAAAAAACTGTTCCCATTGGAGAGTCTTCTTCCAGTCTTATGGCTGTGCCCAATGCTTCTGAATATGTTTGCACCCAGAGAGGTACAGGCACTTCTAACTGAATTGTACTGTTTCTTGACATTTCTAGAGCCTGAAACACTTATCTTTTGAAATAATTCTATAATGATAGGTATATAGATCATATCTATATATACATATCTATACATATGATTATTTTATTTTACTGTGTCAGTATGAATAAAAAATACCGTATTGTTTTATGGGAAAAGGCAACAAAATGTCACTGAAACATAAGGCTTCCTTTTACTTCTAGATCTGTGTTTAAATTAACAATAACTAGTCACCACTTACTTTTATTTGCTGAGTGCCAGTTACAATGTTAAGTGCTTTATGTGGATTATTTTATTCAATCCTCACAGTATCCCTGGAGGTAGGTGTTAGTATATGACAGCAAGACCAACTACAAGTGGAGTTCAAAAAGTAAACATCACATAAAATGTGCCATGTTATTAGCAGCTTCATGGAATGACCAGTGTGAGTCACGTGGTTAATGTGGTGATGTCTGCAGTGGTGGTGAAGGTGAGAGAGGGTACTAGTCCAGTGAAATCCTAGTTTCTATGAGTGCTGCCTAGAGTTTGCCACCACCTACCTGTGCATTGTTGATAGGTCCATATGTATTATTCCTAGGACAGTTTTAATCATTCTAGGAATTAAAAAAATATATTTTTGGCCAGGTGCGGGGGCTCAGGCCTGTAATCCTGGCACTTCGGGAGGCCGAAGCGGGTGGATCATCTGAGGTTAGGATTTCGAGACCAGCCTGCCCAACATGGCAAAACTCCATCTCTACTAAAAATAATAATAATAAAACAAAAATTCACCAGGTGTGGAGGCATAAGTCTGTAGTTCCAGCTACTTGGGAGGCTGAGGTGGGAGAATTGCTTGAACCAGGGAGGCAGAGATTGCAGAGCCGAGATCATGCCATTGCACTCCAGCCTGGGTGCCAGAGTGAGACTCTGTCTCAAAAAAAATTTTTTTTATTGATACATATTGTTTATATTTACAGGGTAGATGTCATATTTTGTTACACATATAGAATATGTGATGATCAAGTTAGGATATCCATCACCTCACATATTTATCATTTCTGTATTTGGAACATTTCAAGCCCTCTCTTTAAGCTATTTTGAAATATACAATATATTGTTGTTAATGACAGTCACTCTACTCTGCTGTCAAACATTAGGCTTATTCCTTCTATCTAACTGTATGTTTGTACCCATTAACCAACCTCTATTCATCACCCCACCATGGCAAACACCCTTTCTAGCCTCTGATAAGCATCATTCATCTCTGACTCCATGAGATTAACTCTTTTAACTTTCATATATCAGTGAGAATATGCATATTGTTTGTCTTTCTGTATCTGGCTTATTTCACTTCACATAACGAACTCCAATTTTATCTATGTTGTTGCAAATAATAGGATTTGATTCTTTTTTATGGCTAAATAGTATTTCTCTCTATATATATATCACATTTTCTTTATCCATTCATCCTTTTATGGACAATTAGGTTGATTCCATGTCTTTGCTATTGTGAATAGCACTGCAATAAATATAAGGTGCAGATATTTATCTCTTTGAAATACTAAAAAAAAGAAGAAAGTTGAAGTTATCACGCTACCTGACTTCAAAATATGTTACAAAGATATAGTAACTGAAACAGCATGGTACTGATATAAAAGCAGACACATAGACCAATGGAACAGTATAGAGAACCTAGAAATAAATCTACATATTTACAACCAACTGATTTTCAACAAAGGTGCCAAGAACATATGTTGAGAAAAGGATACCCTCTTTATTAAATGGTGCTGGGAAAACTGGATACTCATACGCAAAAGAATGAAATGAAACCTCTGTTTCTCACTATATACAAAAATCAACTACAAATGGATTAAAGACTTAAACAAAAGACCTGGAACTCTGAAACTACTAGAGAAAAACATAGGGGAAACACTCCAGGATGTTGGCCTAGGCAAAGATTTTATAGCTAAGACCTCAAAAAGACAGGTAACAAAAACAAAAAGTAGACAAATGGGACTATGTTAAACTAAAAGGCTTCTGTACAGCAAAAGGAACATTCTAGGAATCTTTAAGTGAGTTTGCGCTCATTTTACTGGCCCTATTTAGGGATATTGGGATTTAGTCACTTTCTTTCCCAACCATCTCTGAAAATGAGAATTTTAGGCCATCCCTGCTGTAGAAGGGGATAGAGAGAGAGAACTTGGTCCAATCCCCCTGAATGTGAGCTCAGATCATGGTATTACTGAGTTTTATTGTATTTGAATTTTAAGGAGTAACTTTCCTAAATTTATTAAGCAATTAAGAGATGGGGAGGGCCAAATGCAGTGGCTCACGCCTGTAATCCCTGCACTTTGGGAGGCTAAGGCAGGTGGATCACCTGAGGTCAGAAGTTCAAGACCAACCTGGTCAACATGGTGAAACCCTGTCTCTACTAAATATACAAAAGTTAGCTGGCCATGGTGGCAGGCACCTGTAATCTCAGCTACTTTGGAGGCTGAGGCAGGAGAATAGCTTGAATCCAGGAGGCAGAGGCTGCAGTGAGCCAAGATCACACCATTGTGCTCCAGCCTGGGCCACAAAAGCAAAAGTTTGTCTCAAAAAAAAAAAAAAAAAAAAAAAAAAAGATGAAGATCATGGTTGCACGCACCTCTAGTCACAGCTACTTGGGAGTCTGAGGTGAGACGATCACTCAAGTCCAACAGTTCAAGGCCATAGTGACCTATGGTCATGCCACTGCACTCCAGCCTGGGCAACAGAGCAAGACCAGGTATCAAAATAAATAAATAATTAAAAAAAAACAAAAATAAAAATAAAATGTAAAAAAGAAGTGAATCTGGAACAGGAGCCCAGGCTGTGGAACATGGTTGTAAGGTATGGTAGGACATTTGTCCGAGGTCACATAGCCATTAACGCTAGAGCCTAGCTTTGAACGAAAGCTGGTTTGCCTACCGAGTCTATACTAAACTATCCAAGAAGTGAGATAAAAAAGAAATTTAGAAATAATTAACATTAAATGTTAGTAATTCATATGCCACATTCATTTGGGAATTTTTTGTTACAGGAAAAGTAGCTGTCATTTGTGGCTTACTGCTGTTTAGGGCCTACTGTGAAACTTTGCAGACATAAAACATAAAAAAGCACCTAATCTAGTGCCATGCACATTTCACACAGTATCCTCTCTACAGCTGAACACATAGTATCCTCTCTACAAATGGACATTTATTTCTGTCCCTGCCGTCATCTCTGCATTTTTAAATTGTTTCAGTGTACAATAATTTTCATGAACGAAATTTCAGTATCCTCCACTCTTACAGTTGAATAATCTGACCTTTGGAGAATTAACTAATTTCATCCAGTTTACAATTACTGTGTTCCATAGCAAGAGCAAGGGCTTGAATGTAAGTCCGTTTGGCTCTGAAGCCTGCAGGTTTTCCCTATGAGAATCCTGCCTCTTCCCTTTATCGTACTATTATAATTCAGAAACTCACTTTAAGATATCGCAATGTCCTCTTTTAAGTCTTTAATATTCCATTTCAAAAGCAGACAAGAACATGGGCAAACTGGTCACTATTTCTCAGCATAGTCAGATGGATGAAAAACACTCTGATCCCACCCCATAGGAACTTACACAAGAACAAAACACCATCTATTCTGTTTCACACGAAGCATTAAGTGCGGCTGAAGCAGTCTCATTTTCTTTTCTCTTAGATTGAAGGGAATAGTTCAGTCACAAGAGGATAAATGTCTGTGTTTTGGACTTCTAGGGGCAATAATGAACTGATAAATCCACAAATGGCCTTCGAAGACCGCAGATACAAACATTACTCTATGTAGCAAAGCTTCAAGAGGATGAACCAGAAATACACAAAAAGAAAGACATCAACAAAGGGAAGGTTTCTAGCCCTTTCCCTTTTCTTATTTAGTGTGTAATGTTATTTTGGATTTGGTTAATCACACAAGTCATAGATTTAAAAAGATATTAAATCAGAGAAACAGACATCCTCTAAATACCACCAAGCTCTACAGAAGAGCCTTGATAGGTCTTAAGACTTCAAAGGCATTCTGTAGCCTATTCAAACCTGAAGGGTTAGTGTCATCTTAAAGACAAATTCCTAAAGCTATCTCACTGAGAAGGAAAACAAATACATTTTGAAATCATTCCAAAGCAATTTGATTCAAAGAGTTTTTTTATTAATTAAGGTTGACTTTCCCATAATGAAATTCTCAAATGAAAAGGCCACCATAGCAAATATCTTCAACTTTGATTTCCATGATTTCATAGGCAGATTCATTTATTCTTGGCTAGAATCACTCAACATTTAGTAAGCATTTATTTTGTTCTAGGATGCTAGGCACAGGGAAATATAGCACTGAGAAAAACATGGTTTCATGATTTGCAATTAATCACAGCTTATTAGAAAACTTAGACAAGAAAACTAACAAGTTTAAGAGAGTAGATTAAGCTCTATAAAATATTATGAATATGATGCTATAGAATCCTAGAGAAGAGGGATCTAAATCAAATTAAGGTATGGGTGTATGTGGGGGGGTATGGGTGTGGGTGTGGGTTTAGAAGGGATTATCAAAGAATTAAACACTGAAAAATGAATAGGAGAGAGCTATATATGTTGTTGCTGTTGGGAACTGTGGAGGACATTGTCAGTAAAGATAATAGCTGATATAAAAGCATGGAATAGTGTGATGTTTGAGAATTCATAAATAAGTTGGTCAGCTTGATCTGCCAAAACGGTATTAAGATTCACATCTCCAGTTAGGTAAAATCATACATTTCATTAATTTTACAGCCTTATTTCTCTTTTTGTATTTTCCATAGCTTGATTGATTTTTATCTGTTTCTTTTTAAGACAAAAGCTGATTGACCTTTGAAAAAGAGAAAGGAATATTTATACGCATCAGCAATCGACCTGTTTCAAAGTCAGAGCCGCACAGAGGTTAACTTACAGAGCTTCAGGAATGTTGTTAGTCCATTGTTTACTATAGTAACATTTCTACTTCGCCTAAAGCATTTTTACATTGCCTGATCTTTATACAACACTCTAATATTCATATTTGGCTGCCAAAATACCACAACTCTGTACAGTTTCAAAGCTGCTAATCTGATCATTTCTCTCTGTTCCTCTCACCTTTCCCATTTTAGTCTCTCTACTGACAGCAAAAGAAGAAAAATATTTGATTTGATTTAAATTTTGTATCATTCAGAACTGATGACCCAAGGGAATATTCAGGGTAGGACATGACTTCCTTTCGGCAAGAATATTGTAGGTGAAGAAATTCAAATGAATAGAGAAATTCATAGTATGAATTCAGTTACATCAATTGACAATTATTTACATACTTTCAATTCTATACCACGCAATGCACTGGGTGCTGAGGCAAATAAAGTCATGTGATTTCATCCTGAATTATCCTCAACCTGATTAAAAGTACAAAACATATAAATTGATTTACTAATTAGAGTTTAATTATATAATTTAAATTATAAAATTTTATAATATATAAGGTTATATATTATAACCCTGTGTTATATAGTAGAGATATGATGGTGAACAGGACAGAGACATTACCTTCAAGGAGGTAGTGTTTAAATCAAGGTTGCCAACAAGTAAAAAAAAAAAAAAAAAGCAATATGGTGTGATGACTATGGTGTGTGTTTAATGTAAAAATAAACACAAGGTCATCAAAACCAAACTTGGAAGCTTGGGGAAAGTTCTCTGGCCTCTTAATGGAGATTTCAGAAATGAAGCAGAGCTCCCTAGTCTAAGGAAAAAGAAAAGAGTGTTCTAGGAATTGGAAACAGCAGGTTAAAAAGCCCAGGGACAAGATACAACTTAGCATCATGCAGGAACTGAGAGTAGGGATTGTAACTACACATACTGAAATCTCCTAAGGTACTTATACTAAACACATGTGTGCACGTGCACATGCACACACACACACACACATATATGAAAGCAAATCAGCAAGGAACTCTAGTTGTTTGATTAGAGATGAAATCAGTTGGATGGAAAGAATGCCAGCGAACATGAGATCAGCAGTAGCTGCTATAGAGGAGAAAGGGGGAAGAATGCGGACACTGGAGGCAATAACATCAAAGACCAGGTGTTGGAAAGCAGAGAGGCGGCAGACTAAAAAACAAAGAACTGCTAGAAAGCTGAGATGAAAGACCTTTTTCTTCTTAAGATGGATGGATTCTAGGGGCACTGGTGACAGCCCCAAGTACCTAGATATAGCAGGGAAATTAAAAAATAAAAACCCAAGTATTTGTGGGCCTGGAGCTCTATGAATGTGTGGAGGAAATGACATTGTTTCAGACTTTCTTATAATCCCTTCCCTAATTTTCTGTAATCTTTTCACATTAGCGTCCCCTAGGGTTCCATTCTTGATTCTCATCTTTACTTTCTGCATTCACACGCTTGATATCACATTTAAATAAGACCCACACACTGATAATTCCCAAATATATAACGCAAGCCTAGACATTTCTTCCTAACTCCACATCCACCTAAACAACTACACATCTGATAGCTCCACCTAGCTGTTGCAGGGGAGAAAAAGTAGCGTCTTTTCCTCACCCACCACAAGGTCCATGACTGACACTCCTATAAGAAAAGACAGATTAACAAGAGCAAAGCATCACAAATTTATTTAACAAAGTTTTATGTGACATGAGAGGCTTCAGAAATTAAGGTTCAAAGACCTAAGGAACAGTGTGTATTTTTATGCTGAGTCTGAGGGAAGAAGTGGAGAGGTGTGGAGAAATATGACTGGACAAAAATGGAGTATGACCTAATGGTGACAAGCTGGGGGAAATTTGGCAAGGCCTGTTCAGATTCTTTTTGGCCTCTCTGTGTAGCATTTCTTTCCTCTGGGTAGAAGGAAGGACTACTTGTCACATGAGGGTCTTATGATCTACTTTCATGGGAGGTAGGTCAAAGAGTGAACTTTCTAGGTTTTATAGCTTGTTTTAGGAAAAAAATAAGGGTTGGAAACAGAAGAAAGGAGAAAGTCAGAGATAGGCCCTGTTGCTTTTCCGAGGCCCTCCTGCCTTTTTCAGCTCAAAAGTGCTCAGCCTGCCAGGGGACCATACTTTGGGGCATCATGTTCTGAACCGCAATGATGTCTAAGAGGCTTCTCATATTTAACATATCCCAAACTGTATTAGTCCGTTCTCACACTGCCATAAAGAATGACCTGAGACCGGGTAATTTATAAGAGGTTTAACTGACTCACAGTTCTGCAGGCTGTACAGGAAGCAAGGCTGGGGAGGCCTTAGGAAACTTACAATCATGGTAGAAGGCAAAGGGGAAGCAAACACATCTACATGGTGGGACCAGAAGGAAGGAGGGGGAGGTACTACACACCTTTAAGCAAGCAGCACTAGGGGGATGGTGCCAAACCATGAGATACCACCCCCATGATCCAATCTCCCACCAGGCCCCTCCTCCTACACGGGATTACAAGTCAACATGAGATTTGGGTGGGGACACAGGCAAAATCATGTTACCAACTTAATATCTGATTTCTACCACATCCCCCAAATCCTACTGCATCCCCAGTCAGCCCCATGCCCATTGATGACAATTCTTTACTTCTAGAAATTAAATAAAAAATCTTAGGGTTGTTCTTGACTTTCCTTTCCTCTCACACCCCAAATGCAGGACATCGGTGTTATTTTATTGACTCCACCTTTGTGCCATGCCTATAATCCAAGCACTACTCAGTAGCTCCACTCCTACCACCGTAATCTGAGCTAGAATCATTCCTCACTAGATTACTTCAGTTGCTCCTGATGGGCCTCCCTGTGTTTTCCCTTACCCTCTCTGTGTGTATTCTCAGTACAGCAGCCAGAATCATCCCTTGAAAAGTTAAATCAGGGTTTCTAAATTCCAGCAATATTGCAATATTGACACCTTGGGCCAGATGATACTTTGTTGTGGGCATGTCCTGTATATTATAAAATGTGTATTCAGCAGCATCCCTGACCTCTACCCCTAGGTGCCAGTAGCATCTCCTCCTCATAGTTGTGACAACCAAAGATGTCTCCAGACATTACCAAATGTTTCTTTGGATACAAAATCATCCTTAATTTTGAACTACTGAGATCATAAGATTTCTTCTTAATCAGAGTAAAAGCCCATGTCCTTATAAGGGACTATACTTTCTGCTGCATTCCCAGCCCTTTCCCCTTCTTTGCTCATTCTCACTACTCTCACTTATACCCTGGGCTTCAGGCCCACAGGACCACTGCTGTTCCATGGATGTCAGGCCAGCTCTGCCTTTCCCAGGCATGGCTCACTCTTTCTTTCAAGTCTTTGTGCAACTGTTACTTTCCAAATGAGGCTTAACTGATAACCCAATTGTAAATCACAACCTGCCACTACCACCTCTGTATCATTGATAGCAACTGTTTTCTCCTAAGTTTGCTATCACTTATCACCTTCTAACATATATAATTTGCTGATTCATTCAACAGCTATTTATAGAAGTCCCATTCTCTAATATACACTATTCTATACTCCTTGGGTTTACAAATAAATAAAACAGATTCTAGCTGCAGGAAAAAGGTATTAATCAAATCAACAAATAAAAGATATAATATGTCAGCTGGTGACAAATGCTTACTGCTGATAAGAAATTGCAGTTTTAAGTAGGACAATTTGTTGAGATTGTGAGTTTGAAAGATTATCCATCTTTCTGTTTCTTTGTGTTGTCTATCCTCCTCCATTAGGTTACAAGTTCCATGACACCAGTGATTTATTTTTTTTCTAATTTTTACCCATGAGACAACACTACCAACTTGAGTAAACTCTGACACTTAGTGGTTTTTAATATTTTTTTCTTGATTAAGAAAAAAAAACTCCTCTTGAATCAAAGAAAATGATTTAGACTATGGAATCCTTAACAGTTTTGTACTTAATAGTATGAGTGGGAGGTTCATTCTGGAAACATGGCACACTTATTTCCTGCATGAATCTGATATGAATTTATCACAGAACATTGACTTTCAGATTACCTATCGTATCTCCATGAAAAGAGAACAACAATACAGATTAATGTAATAAGTATTATATAAATGGTGCATACTGTGTTTTCAAGGTACAGATATGGGACAGTCCATTTCAGTTGGCCAGAAAAGGGATTTAAAATGTGCCTTTAAAGATAGAATTTCAGCCGGGTGAAAAAAGGAAAAAGACCACCTGAAAGATAAACAAAACGGGGAGCCAAATATCACGGAGTCTTGCTCTGAAATTGTGCCAAGGCCAGTAACTCATCTCTTGCTTTCTTAACTTATGACTAATGTGAATATGGGGGTCACGTATGTTGTTGCTCAGCCCAAGATACATTTTCAAGTAAAAGTAATGTTATTAAAAATTACACCAGGAAAATGAGTATAATTTGGGACTGTTACAGGCAGACCTCATATATGTTATTACAAACTTTGCCTTGTACCTTCTTCTAGTATTATGTTTCTTCACTTGGATGGCCTCCATCATGCGTGTGTCCCTGTGCTGGTTTATATTCCAGTGGCAGAGGGATGGGGTTCTGCAATTCCCCAATTTCCACTCCCCATCATTCCAAATGACTGAAATCTTTTACCTATGCTTGAGCCCTTCTATTTTCTACTGAGGCTTCATCCTTCTGAATGCCATTATCCTAGGTTATCCTTTTTTAATATGGGGCTTTTAAATAACAATAACTGTGAGTTTGATTGTGTTTTGCTTCCTATTTGGCTTCCCTCACTTCCAGCCCAGTTCCAATTATAACCCTATAGGTGTTCAAAGAGAAGAAGGCATTTCCTGCCATAATTATTAGGAGAGGCTTCAAGTGAGAGCTGAAGGATAAATAGAAATTCAATGCATAATATGTAAAAATGAATGAACACATATTAATGAAGGTAGTTGGTGGTAGTGAAATGACGTCAGCCAATATGTTAAACAAAACATTTTCAGACACTTATGAAGAACTATGCAGAATTTAATTAGGGTGGTTAGCAAGGTTTACAAAAGAGCAAGCAACATGCAATTATGTGTCATGTTGAAGAACTTCCTAAATATCAAGCCATGAGAATAGACTTTATTTTGAAACTTGTGTAATTGTCCCGTAGAACTGATGCTTATGGCTTCTTTTGAATCAACATATAAATTAACCATCTGAGTCTTGAAACTTGAGACACTTACATTTGTCTTATCTGAGTTTCTTTCTCATAAAACTGACTATCAGGACTCCCAGATGGGATCAAAGTACTGAAGTTTACCAGGTCACTGCATCTGGACAATGAGATGCCAGACCTCTCAATCATCATGATTGCCTAACCAATCCCCTGCTTCCTGCACCAACTCTTCTTCCTTACCCCTCCCCCTAATTCCTGTTTCCCCACACATGGTTAGATTTCTCCCTTACTATATAAACTTCTAACTTTAGTTGATCAGGGAGATGGAATCAAGACTGATCTCCCACCTCCTCTACTGCAGCACCAGATTAAAGCCTTCTTCCCTGACAATACTTGTTGTCTCAGTGATTGGCTTTCTGGGTTGTGAGCAGCAGGACCTAGACTGAACTTCAAAGCCTTTTGGTAACAATTTGAAAACAACATGAAACTACCTAATTTTTTTTCTGAGTATGTGTCTCTAAGCAAAACTTTTTGGCTGAAGGGGATTAAATGACTATTCACAATACTCATAAGCATTTTTGGGAGGTAGGAGTAGCTAGAGTCTGAGTTTCAGACACCAACTAATTAGCAAATAAGTGAGGGCTTAAAAGACAGGAGTGCTAACTATGGTGCTGCTGTTACTGCTGCTAATGATAATATATCCATGTGCCAGGTAGTATGACAAGTGCTTAACAGGTATTGTTTAATGCTAACAATAGTTCATTCAAGTAGGTATTTGATTTTTCCAATTTTACAGGTAAGAAAACAATGGTTTAGGATGTTTATGAAACTTGACCGAGTTTACACAGTTCAAAAGTGGCAGGATCAGGATTTGATCCAATGATAAAAGCCTGGCTAGGAAAACTTACTTCTTAACCATTTTGCTAATACTAACTCTCCAAATAGGAGAAACAAGTAGGAGTAATCCATTAGGAAATGAATGTGTGTCTTTCCTAGAAGTGTAAATCAGAAAGTCAAAAAGCAAATCTAACTGAAAAAGTAGAAATTGTCAGTTATCACCTAGAAGTGCTGGAGCAAAGATACAACTCAGGAATGGGGAAAATTATGTGGAAGCAAAGGGAAGTTAATTAAGGCATAGAGGGAAAAACATAAAGCTCAGACTATTAAATTGACCTTGGCCCTTTAATGGGTCCAGGCTTGTCCCTTCCAAAGTCTTGTGTTAAAATGTCTCCAGTCCTCCTTTTCCTATACTTCCTCATGTATAGGTTCCTCTCTGCCCTTGCTCCACCAGGAGTCACATCTATAGCCAAATACTGTTGCGATATGGACAATCCTCTAGCTTGGGGACATTTACTCACTTCTGTTACCTACTCTGCTGAACTGCTGCATACCCTGCCACAGTTCATTTTCCCAATCTTCACCCTCACACACACCCTCAGGCCACTCTCACTGTGGGAGCCTCCTGATTTCTGTTTATTAGGGAAGAAATGAGTTTGGGTAAAGTAGTATATATGAAAATTTCAATCTCAGTATACTAGTCAAAGTCAGAGTTACCTTCAGCAAAAGGGGACTTGGAGATAGTGGTTGAGATAGATATGACTGGTATATGCAAAAGACTTGGGATGACCATTCCAATAAATGCAAGCAAGTGTAGAGGGGGGAAAAATAATAAGAAAAAAAATCTTTCTTCTATTGGCTTAGGTTCAATGTCTGAGGCCTGCAAATGAAACTATTGAAAGACAGATTAACTAGAAAAGATATTTATTTTATATGCACTTAGGGGATCTCACCGATATGAAGTCAAAATCCCAAAAACCTGGTTAGATCTGAAGACTTTTATACAGTTTTAACAAAGTACGGTATAGTGTAGAAAAGAGAAAAGACAAAGGGGGCTTTGGGCTTCTTCGGGAGGGATGGATAAATTGTGAGAGGGTGACAGGATGTGTATGGTATATTCTTCTTGCACTACTATAAAGAAATACCTGAGACTAGATAATTCATAAAGAAAAGAGGTTTAATTGGCTCACAGTTCTGCAGGTTGTACAGGAAGTATGGCTGAGAGGCCTCGGGAAACTTCCAAACATGGCAGAAAGCAAAGAGGATGCAGGAACATCTTGATACGGCCAGAGCAGGAGGAAGAGAGAGAGCAGGGAGGTGCTACACACTGTTAAACAACAAGATCTCTAGGCGGATGGTGCTAAACCATTAGAAACTGTCCCCATGATCCAATCACCTTCCACCAAACCCCACCTCCAACTCCAACAATGCAGATTACAATTTGACATGAGATTTGGGTGGGGACACAGAGCCAAACCATATCATATGATAAATAAGGATTATTTAGTAAGCCTTGTTACGTAGTCTACAGTAATTCTCCTCTTCCTACAAGAAAGGAGTATACCTTTACAAATGACAATTTCCTTTAAAATAGAAATGCTATTTCTTTCCTTACAGAAAGGAAATACATGCTGGGATTTTAGGCAGGAAGGGGGAACACAGGGTTTCCTCCAATGTTTGCTGCTTCTCAATTGCCTTCAGTTCAAAATACTTTGCATACCAAAGTGGCAATTTTTGGTAAGGGCATATAATGATCCCCTTGACAAGAGTCAATTTAAAAAGTGCAATGTTTTCTAAACAATGGTGAGAATCCAATTTAAAAGATGCAGTAGATTTATTTCCCACAAAAAGGCAGAAGAGCAAGAAGAAAGAATCTCTGGTTTAAGGTAAAGTGATTTCAGTCTTATAAGCAAAGGTTTTTTATAACAAAATTAAGATGTGAATCTTTAGGGGCCACAGTCTGCTGACTCCCTAGTACGACTCTTAGCAACTCATCACTTCCTCTAATTTGCAGTGGCAGCAGGAGAAAAGACTGTGAGTACCAGAGATTTCTGGAGGGAATTCCAGGTCCAGGCTTTTCAGAATGCCCAAGTCAACAGCTACTGCTTTTCAGGAATCTGGAAAATAGCTCCAACTTTCTTCTAAATGCATTGTTTCCTGTCTTTCTGATTTTATTTTTGGCGTCTTTTGTGCCTGAAACATTCTCACCAACTGCCTGTATCATAAATCTTCAAGATGAAACTGAAATGTCATTTTCTCACTGAAGCCTTTCTTAATCTCTCCTAGTGAGTTCTTCTCATGGTATCCCCACAACATTTTGTATACTCTCTATTCTGACACTGGCACCCAACTAAAAGGGATATTGATGTGAATTTGCACCTTGTACTAACTTCCATGAAAAGTCTGATTATTTCCAGCAATTTATCCTACTTATTTCCCTTCTTGTCTCCCACCCTATGCCTATCCTCTAGCCTGAAGGACAATTTCTATTCTTTTATTATTTTGATCCTTATTGTATATAACATTCTGAAGAAAAGTAGGGATTAATGTGGTGACTATTTTGTCCACAACTTTGCCTTCTGACCTCAGGCCATCTCTCCACTTTCTCCTCCAACATTTATTAAGAATAAAGCCCTGTCACTCCTCCAAGTAGCAAAACAAGACAACTCCATTTCTTCTCCATGGTTTGCTAAGAAGGGAAAAACAGAATCTTAGCCAGATGTTAAGAAGAATAGAGCCAGGAAGGAAAGAAACTTCTTCCACAGGGATGTGGAATTAGGAAGCAGAAACCTTTTGTTTTCTAACTTTCAAGATAAAGGTACAAAACTGTGAGAGTTTAGAAAATGAAATAAAATTATATTTAACTACAGCCTACACAAATAGCTTTTGAAGAGATTCAGTATATTCATATAAAAGCTTTCAGGCTTGAACTGCCTTCCAGAGTGTAGGCCTGGTGAAAATAGTTCTTTCAGTGTGTGTTTAGATATGTTGATTGAAGTTACCCACAATACCTTAGTGCAAACTGAAGGAGCTCACTAGTTAAATATGTCATTTTCTTCAAACGCTGTCTTTATTTGCTGTCTTCTATTTCAAATTATCACAGTAAAAATTATCTCAACCCATAACAGAAATTTCTATTGTGTGATTTTTAGTAATAACAACCTTATATTGTGAATTTCTTCAAATTCTGTTTTTTAATGGTGTGTTACAAGTTCTCATGGGAGAATTCTAGTGCATGAACAACTTCTGTGATGAAATCACCATGACTTTTTCTAAATACCCAAAATAGAATTCTTGAAAATATTTTCCCCTTTCTCTTTCCAAAGGAGAAATAACTTCAAGTGCTGTTAGTGATGCCATTAACTTCACATAAAACAATTCCTAATGAAAAACACTTAAATATTTACAAGAGCATATTTAGAGCATTTTTCAGTGCCGAATTGTGTCTATATAAGGCCACATATTCATATAGCCACTTTAGAATTTACAGGGATTATGTTAAAGACTCCAATACCTTTTTATTTGCACATAGTGTTTTGCAAATAAATATACCTTGTTTTGTGACACTTGAAAATTAAATTCTGTTGAAAAGAAAAACTGTAGTGAAATTAAACAGTTTAATTCAGCAAAGAATGATTTGTGGATTGTGTAGCCTCCAGAACCAGAATAGATTCAGAACGACTCCTGGGCTGTCACATGGTCTGATAGCATCTAAGGACAGAAGAAGGAAAGTGACATACAGAAAATAAAAGTGAGGTACAGAAAGAGCTAGACTGGTTATAGCTGGATGTTTGCCTTATTTGAACCTGGTTTGAACAGTTGGCTAGCTATGGTTGAAATTCAGCCACTGTGATTGGCTGAGACTTGTCTACTTGTTACAAGAGTAGGTTACAGTCCATCCACACATCAAGTTAAATACACTATGTATGAAGAAACTTTTAGGATAAACCTAATTTAACAATTCTAAGTAATCTGAGGACAAAGGGAATATCTAAAATTCCTCTCTTGCTTAGTACCATGCTATGTGCAGAACTTTAGCTTAAAACACATTAGTATTGAAAAATAAGTAAACAATTATTGCATAGTTTGTTAAGTACAGATTGGTAAACATAATGGAAGAAACATAGGAAGAAGCATCATGCGGGGAGGGAGAGGAGATAGGATTCGTTAGGAAAGGGAATCAAATCTTTTTTAGCAGAATATTGAAGGTAGAACACAATCTTCCAGGACATAGAGCAAAGAGTATTCTTGAATACCTGAATAACACCCACAAGGTCTTGGAGATGTGAAAAGATCTGGTAAGTTGAGAATCCAAAATTCATGGGAGAACAGTTGGAGAGTGAGAGATGAGTAGAAATGTGTGGTTGGACAAAGTTGTAAAGCTTTTCTGAATAAGCTGAGGAGACTGTTGTTCACCTGCAGCAGAAGAATTGGAATTAGCACAAGGTCCACAGCATCTGGCTTGTGTTAAATGTTAACTAGCTCACTTTACACTAAATCCCAGGGTGAATAAAATGTTTATTCCCCTGGTAGAATAGGAAATAAAAGCCAAAATCGTGGGCCTTCATTGCTGCTGTTCTTTTCATTGTTTGTTTTGTTTTGTTTTGCATTGTATATCTTCAAATAGTTTTAGAGTTTTCTTGGTTTTTTTTTTAAGGTAATGAATAATAATCAAAAGCTGCACTCTTTTTTGTGAATCAGCCAGAATATGATGGATTCAGGTTAGAAAAGGCAATTAGTAATTACGTTAACAAAACAAAACCAAAAATCCCTGAGGTTAGATAGTTCTAGTAGCATTGAGTGTTCATCCAGTGCTTGTGGAGTGGCTCACACTTTTTTTTTTCTTTTTTAGCAGTTAGTTAGCTGTCGGATCAAGTGCTGCCCAGTGTTACCACAAAAACTCTCACCAAACAAACTCAAGAAAACTAGGTCAGTCCTTGGAAACTGCCCAACTATGAACTGGGCCAGGCCATCTAGGATGGGGCAGCGGGCAGTACCACCCTGACACTGACAAGTGTGTTGCCTCTTGTAAAGAGCTGTTTGCCCATCCTGCCACACATAGCCAGGATACACAAATGGGGGGGCACAGATGTGCAATGGAAGCAAACAAGTGGTCAGCCCTACAATGCTGAGATTCTATTTACATGCTTTTTGTATCATGTCTTTATTATATGCAATACTTGGAAACTTCACATTGCTACTATATTTTTTACTATGATTCATTAGCTTGAACTTTCAAACAACCCATACAGCTCCTTGATATGTTTGTAACTCTCTTGGCTTTCAATTTCACAGTATTCCCTGAAGTTAACTGTGATGCTATTTTATGTTTCTAAAGACAGCATATTTCTCCCTAGGTATACTAATACTGAACAACTGACATACATTGTAATTTCATGGGGTGAAATGAGCTATTCTCAGGTCCTAGGTTGTTCAGCACAACAGTTTCCAAGTGTTCACACCTTTTATTCTCTACATCTATTATTATAATTTTCTTCGGACAATCACAAATGACTGAAATTATGAGAACTTGAAAATATTTGACAAAAGGTTATATCCCTATGCTTCTACAAAAGTACTAAAGAGGGTTTGTACATAGATTCCACTCAGACTTAAGGAGAAAGAATAAGGTAAATCGAAAAGAAGAAAGCTCTTACAAGCAGACCAATGCATCATTCTATCATCATCACCATCATCATTGTCATTATTATCATCATCTTCACTATGAATATATTTTGCCATACTAATACTGAAAAAGTTTCACATTAAAATAAGATACCACTTTTGACTCAACAAATATTTAAGTAAGAATATGGCCATGGGTTTAGAAAATATGCATTCCTGTTCTGCTGGAGAAAGGGTAAACTTGAGAATCATTGAGGAAATCAGTTAGAAAGTATGTAATACAAATGATAATTATTAATATTAAAATAATACAGTTTAATATAATTAGTAAGCATAATTAATTTTAAAATTATTCAACACAAATAACCAAAAAGGCAAAGATTATAAAAAGTATTTGTTACAAATATAGAATGAACATTCCTGCGTTACTATGGGGAAAATGGACATAATCCAAGTTTTTAACAGTAAAAGATTGGTTAATTATGCAACCATAAGATGTGTAGTTTTTAATATAAGTTTCACCATAATGATACGTATAAAAGGATATAGTATTGTACATACACAATTATAACTTTAAAATTTGCATGTTTTGTGCAAAAGTATATATATGAAAAATACTATACCACTATATTGGCTGTGGCTATCTTTTGGGTATAAATAGTTGGATTACGGATAATCTTTTTCTTTCTACTTAAATCATTTTATATTGCTTTTTAACCCTAAAAACAACAACAAAAAAGATAGTAAAGATTTTTAAAGAACAACTTAAGGATATTTTTATAGATATCTAAACCAGTTGCTAGCTGGCTATTGTCTAAATACTAATGCCTGACTTGGTCAACACAAGGAAATTCACTCACTTGTGAGTAACGATCTAACAAAGCTTATAGGAGTCAGTAGCTTACGTTGGCTTTTGACATAAACTGTGTAGTATGAAAAGGTAAGTATCTAATAATAGAGGCATTGTGAATTGTCCTTGAAGTTCTTAGGCTTGAAGAACCTTACTCTGATGCTCTGAAAATATTGATGCCATGCTTACTCCCCAGAGAGGTAATGAGTTTAAAGTGGGGACTAAGAGTAGGAAATTTTTAAAGCTCCCAGATGTGTTTAACATGCAACCAGAGTTAATAATTTGGGGGATAGACAAGAGCTGCTCAAAGTGCGGTGTTGATCTCAAACTGTTCCTTACAGTCCACAGTGAGATTTATTCAGAAATTAGTAGTGAGATGAGTTCTGCAATTGAGAGTGACCATTTAAAAATGTTTATATAGAAATTTGACTTTGCCATGACATCCAAACAAGTGACTAGTAAACAACTCTCATTAAACAAGTTACAGACTAGCCTAAGTGCTTTTGAGCTCACTTGATGAACCACATGTAAATACCTCCTATCAGTCTGTGATGAAGTGAAAAAAAAAAAACTAAAAATAAAAACTGATCCTTCAGGACACAGGTTTATGTGCCTACCTTCCCAGCTACATTGTCAGTTATTGAGTATCACCCATAGAGCTTAGTACAAACTATACCTACAGCAGGTACTCCAAATACTTCCTGAATTGTAATGAATGATGTTTTTTTTTTTTTTCCATTTAAGAAGATAACTGACTTTTAACAGGAGCCATTAGTGTTGTGATGTCTTTACAATAAAATAATTTACTTAGGACAGTGGAGGTTTCCGTTATTATAGTTAAACTGACCTGAAATGCTTTGCAGCAGAACAAGCTTCTTCATGCCCTTTAAGTGATCTTATGTCTGTTCTCTTACTTAGTTGATGTATTTGTAATGTATCATCCCTTACTGGCCCAGGTCCACTGACTCCATTGCAGCAAGAATGGGGGGATTCTGACAAGTCCCATCAATGGCAGCCTTTGGCCATAGGTCACCTGTCTCAGCTTTGTAAGGATCATACATAGACCTGCACTGGCTCCACCTAATCAACACTCGCCTCCCACTCTCACTTTTGGACATTTGAGTTTGGAAGACATTCACCAAGCACTAAAAATGGGAGTGTCAAAACCACAGATTTTGCTGAACAAATGCCCTCTGTTCTACGCTTCACAAGTTTGTTCAGATCTAAGATAACATTGTCATAGAAATCCAAGTCTGAGTCTTCATGAACTGATGTGTGATTTACCAAGGCTAAACTGTCTTCTAGCATCAGCTTTAGTTATGCACAATAATTGGCCTCCATGATTGTAATCTGATAGATGTGTGCCATGGATAGTCACCTTTGTTGACAAAGATGGCAAAGATTGGTTTTATGGAATATCTGGGAAAGCCAAAGAAAGGAAGAACTTGTTATATTTGCATGTGCATCTTTTTGCACACTGTGTATAGATAAACAGGTGAAGAAAGAATGTTGCAATATGTGTCAAGACTATTGCAATATGGGAGAGGAAAAGGGCTCAACTCAGAATATAGCATGGATAACTGGAGACTTATAATGAATAGGCAGAGTTGGTGGGAGTTAATGGATGAAAAATTACATAGAGGAGACATCAAGAGTAGGAGCATTCTTGCTAAACCAACTTGACAGGATTCTTGCTTGACGTAGCAAGATATCAAGGGTGAGAGGATTCTCCCTACACTGACTTAGCAGGATTCTTTCTAAAACTGGGCTAGGAAGGCCCAAGACAAGACCTAGTTGAGAGAGGGCTCAGAAGACCCTGTCTAAAGTTTGGTCAAGAGTTCCATAAAAGGTGTATATATGCTTATATGTATATGTTTGCATATATAATAAACTCTCTAAAATAAACATACTTATTGAGAAGTGTAGGAAATACAGAATACTTAGAGTGAAATATGTATCATTCCAGCACCCAAGGGAAACATTTTTTCATCCATTATGCTTCCTTTCCGTATTTTAATCCATAAATATAGATTTAAAAGCATAATAATAGTAAACAAATTCAAATATCAAAAAAAAGAGAATTTCAAAAAAAGACCAAAACTGTTCTTAGCTGTACACCAGTTCTGAGGACAGGATTCATAACCTACACCATCCCTGACAGCACCTTGCAGATGAAAATGTTGATTTAAGGGCAATTGTCTCCGATGAATTTTACCAATGTGTGACAATTACCCAAGTTCCTGGGCTGAGAAGCAGCCCTGCCTGCTCTGAAAAGTTATAGTGCCCAGTAGTCCTCAAAATTCCTCATTCGTTACCCAGAGTGAGATGAAGAGGTAAGCTTTGGGGATGGTAGGGTGGGGATTGGGTACAGAAAGGAGAACAGGAAGATTTTGCACACCAATTTGAAGCTTGCAAAACAGAAGGGTATCAGTTTAAGTTTTTGGCTGAAATAAACCAGCATTCTGATGTGTTTCTTTGCATGGTTGCTGTGCTGAGTATTTAACTCAGGATCTGTTGCAACAGCTTCCTTGGCTGTCAGGTGAAGATAATAATACCTACTTTCCTAATTCATAGATGTTTTGTAATGATAACATAATTTACAGGGCTGAAAATGTTTACAATATTAAATACACTGAGATACCATTCATGTAATTTATAGGAGATTAGATAGTAAATATTTTAGGCTATGTGGATCATGATGTCTCCGTCACAGCCCTTCCACCCTGCCTTTAGGGTGTGAAAGCAGCCATAGACTATAAGTGACCAAAAGAGCATGCCTCGCCCCAATAAAACTTTACTTATGGACACTGAATATAAATTTCACTTTCACATTCACTTTATGTGTCATTATTTGCTCAGCACAATTTATTTCCTCAGCCACATTTTAAGCTACTAGAGGGTAGAGCCTAACTCATCCTTTTGTGCTAGGCAGATATTAGATAAATATTGAACGATAGATCGATAGTGCTAGGCTATGTTTTGGTTAAAGAACCATAGAAAAGAAAAGGTGTCTTGTAGAAGTCTTGCTTCTTCTTTGATGTAAGAAATTCACAGTAAGTCATGGATGAGGGATTGGGATGCCAACAGCCACCTCTACATTTTTTTGTAAACACAGAAACAATGCCTCTTAAGATCACAGTGATAACCCCTTTAACCTGTGTGCTTTGGAGAACAGAACGACCAGAAGAAATGACTTAGGTCTCCAGGAGAGCAAGCAATCAATGTCAAGAAAAATGGTTTTATTACAAACTGAGCTGCTGAGAAATTTCAGTTCCCTGTTGCTCCCTGAGGCCAACCATAGGGACTCAGGGCTCCGCAAGCTCACGTACGGGCCTGCAAGATGCAACACTTCCTAGGATGAGAAGTAACAAGCCTCCTCGGGGAATGAAGGCAGAAAATCTCTATTTAAGGGAATCATGAAGTAATCTCTTCTCCAAAGAGTTGAGAGACACGTACCTTACTTGACTGGAAATTGTGAGCAAATAAAAACAATATGTGAGCGAGAATCATTGTTTACTGCTTCGACTTCCAGTCGGGAGGCTGGGTAGATGGCTCACCATGATGCCAATGAATAATATATGACCTCCACACTGTGTCCTCTGTCTTTTTAGGAGCATCATAGGCCAATGAGTAGAATGTCAGGCCAGGGGAAGTGGCTGGAGCTATGACAGCCTCATATTTCTTCCTTGGAGGGGCATTACCCTATATGTAGAGGAAAGGAGATTCTTGTTTGGTGACACAGTGAACTGCAACTACTTCTCCAACTCTTCTGCCAGGGATAATAATGAAGTAGACATGATTCAGGAATGTTGTTCCTTAAGGATGCTCAGGAAACAATTCTTTATCATTGCAACTCTCTATGTGGAGGTACAGAGGTAAGAAGACTGCTCTTGTTCCCATAGACCTTTGCTGTATCTTTGAAATAATATTCTTGCTATTCTGACCCTAATGAAAGGTAGCAGAATATGCCACCCAACATATGCCACTTTGCAATGAAGGATTATTTGACCTAAATTCAACTGAGAAGAAGCAGATATAAGAAATGCTTTCTGCCCTCCCCTTATTTGCCCAAAAGAAGAATATAAATTTGTAAAGTTATCCTCCCACCTCCTTATAAGGAAAGACAGAAGTTAATCACTGGCAACAACTTATCAGCCCTAAATTGACACCGGAGGAATTGACATAAACTTTTAACCAGTTTGGGAGACCAGAATATGTCTTCCCAAAAGATGACGGATTGTTGAGCTGAAAACAGTTAAGAAGCAGATACAAGAAAGCTCTTTGCCTTTCCTCTATTTGCCAAAGAGCAAGACACATATTGGCAAAGACAGAAGACATCTCACCTCCCCTGTCTACCAAGGAATAAAAGATTAACCACCGAAGACAACTTTGGACATTTATCTGCCTGGAGATGATACCAGAGGAATGTACATTAGCAAGCTTTACTAACTATATTCTTTATTGAAGATGCTATATATACTGGATTTGAAGCCACCTTTCAGAGTACAGCTCATTCCCTGGGTGTCTCCAATATATGTATGAAATATACATGTTAATAAACTTCTATTCGCTTTTCTCTTGTTGATATTTTGTTACAAAGGTCAGTACTGCCTAAGAACTTATGGGGTTGACTCTTCCTTCCACTACACCAGTTTTTATCTACCATTGCTTCCCCATACGTTTGCCTTCCCACCATGTTTTTACCCTAGAAACAAAGTCCTTTTCCTTTGTCTTGTAATTTATCTAAAAATTTATCATTTTTGTTAAGATTTTATATAAACCCAAGTTCTAACCATGCCTTTGAGTTATTCATTACTGTGTACTCCCATGTGTATTTGATGAACATATTAATGAAGTTTTGTTTTTCTCTTGATAATCTTTCTTTGATCAGTTTAATTTTATGGAGCTCCAACCAGAGAACCTAGGAGGGTAGAAGAAAAACATCTGTATTGAAGGGTGGAAGAGACATACAGGAAATTAAGCCAATTATCTAAAAATGACTTCATGACAAAAAAAAGTCTGGAGCATAACTCTTGCATTCTCAACTAAAATATCTATTGGTTTAAAAGCACTTGTTTAGAGATCTAAGTTAGATTTCTAAAAGAATCTTTATCAGACACTTCACAATTCGTCCCCCACTCCTAGTTTTCTCTCTAGTTAAAATGCCCTTCATAATCTATGCTTCAAACACATTACACTTCACATGTTCTTGTTCCGGAATAAATTCTAGTAGAGTATACATGCTGTATAGACTTTGCTCCAGTAGTCACAGCACACCTACACCCATGCCCTTTAATGATTCCTTTGATCAAAGAATCTAAAATCCTGCCACGTATCTGAATGCATTTCAAGCACAGGAGGTACTATCTGGAAGTGTCTCAGCTTCTAAGTTACCTGTCTCAGGGGTTACATATAAAATTCTAATGTTTTGTATCCACATAGGATTATATGAACCCCATCAAATCACCCCTAATAAGTTCCCCCAATCCTCTCTTACCTTTCTTATCATTATATTCAAGATATATATCTCCTAAGGTATCAAAAGGTCAAATTTGATATTCTACTATCTACTTTAAAGCATGAGATTCAGATCATCTGTATTATCATGGTTTAACTATCAGGCCTTAGATCTGAAAGTACCTAGGTCAAATGGATTTTCTATTCTCTCCAGAAAATCCTGACCTAACAAGATGAGGCTGTAAACTGATAAATATTTTGCTGTCTTCAGGAAACTTCATCAAACAAATATATCTGTACAAACAATTTAGTTATCTGGATAAATAGTTCTTCTATCAGAACAGATTTTTTCATCTGCTTGCTTATCGAAGAAGAGTTAATTTATCAAGAGTGGTTAATTTATCAAGTGTGGTTTATCATCCTTACTATATCAATTATAAACTATTATGCCATGAATTTTACCTACCTACAAACAACTGTATACCTTGAAAGACTGATCTTAAACTATTTGACACCAGAGCCCCTAACCTTAAAACTATCCCCTCCTGATCCCCTGTTCTGAGACACTGTGATTCTACTAAGGTGGTATTTTCTCTTTTTTAAATAGGTACAATAAAGCTAGCTTTGCTTGATCAATAAACTCTTGTGGTCTTTTGGGAAATTCAGCATTTGATAAACATATGGAACTAAGAAACCTTATTCACCTCCTTTCACTTTTCTTTTCCTAACTCTACTGTATACTTGGGCTTTACTCAATGTATAGCCTAATAATAATTGTATATAGTTAATAGCATTAATTGTCTTAATTCTTACAACCACTCAGTGAAATAGCAACTATTATTGTTCTAGTTTTAGAAATAAGAAAAGAAAAGCATAAAAATTTTAATAGTTGGTGGGCTGGGATTTGAACTCAGGCAGGATGGATCCAGAGTTTTGTTTTTTAGCCACCATTCTATTTTTCCAGGGACCATTATTATTATTGAACTTGACATTTCAAGTTTCTGTTGATTCTTTTATCAGTTGTTACAAGGCCACTAGGTTTGTGCCCATTGCATGGTAACGTACTAATACCCTGAAACAGCAGGAATAGCAGCAGAGAAAGAGTTTAATGGTTGAATGGTAAAGCAGTGAAGAGATGGGAGGGAACCTAAAATCTGCCTCCCCAAGGAGTTTTGGACTGAGATTTTTAAGGGAATTTTCACAGGTATGGGGCTGAGGAGTTGGGGGCCACTGATTGTCTAGGGTGTGGGGGATGAAATAACAAAGGTGTAGAAACTGCATTCTTACATTGAGTCAGTTTTCAGACAAGCTGGCATCAGTGAACCCACTGGAATGCAGAATCTGAAAAATATCCCAAATGGAAACCTTGGAGTTTCTTAGCATTAAAGATGTTATCTATAAAAGGACCTAGTGAGAAAAGTTTTGTAACTTTTAGCAGTAAGCAGCTATAGAGAAGTAGGCTATAGGGAAAGCTGGTAATGCTTATCTATGCTTTTACTAAAGTTTAGTTTTTGTTAAAAACCTAGCAGTTTAGTTTTATTAATTTTATTAGAATGGTTTCACAGGTACTCTCAGAACTGTGTACTGATGTCTGTTGGCACTAAAAATCTAACCATAAAAACTATATGGAGTCTCAAGCCCCTCCGAACTCTTGAGTTAAATCAGAAATGATAAGAAACCACAATGCATTTAATCAACAATGCATTAAAATGCATGTTCTAATTCCTCTGTGAGCTTATCTTTTAATCTCCACAATATTACAAATAACACTATCACACCTCTTTTTCAATTCATTATTGGATCTAAACCATATCACTTAATCATTAATGAACATCTAGTATATTCATTCTAACAATAATAAAGTAAGATTCTGGCTTCAAATTCAATAACACTTACAATGACTCTCCCTCCTCAAAAAAAAAATTCCTCAACTCTTTCTGATTCTTTTCCAATGAATTTGCATTTAGGCAGTTTACCTGAAAGCTTTAATATTTCAGCTACATTGAAATTTCACTGAACATCAATTGTCTTATCTACATTAATGAAAGTGTCAGTAGCAGGACAATCCAAATAGTGGATAATTCTAAAACCCTTGCATTTGGCTTTGGGATGCAGTATCCTACGTGGAAATGGCCTCAGTTACTTCCCTAATACTACATGTTTCAGTCAAATACACAGTCACTGACAGAAGACAGGTAGAGATTGAGATGGGAAATGAACATTTATTACAAAAAAATTCCCCATAGAGGATCATTCTCAGACAAAAAATAGAAAAGAAGTCACTAGGAAGGATGAGTTTTGTCTCCTAAGTAGCTTATCTTTCAGATCTGAGGCCATAGAATTCATGGCTTAGCAAGAGAATTCTGGCTGCTTTGACTATTGAGAAACTCATTCACATGGTATTTTGCTGAAAGAAGGTTTATTGGAATTAAAAGCTGTTGTTTGCTTTAAAAAAATATATGAGAAGAAGTTTTTATGTGTCAATGAATTGGCTGAAACAAGGGAACACTCTCTGAGGGCAATATTAAATTCAACCTGAGGTACTCTGAAGGTTTACCTTGTTGTATTTATCGCAGGAAGATAGAGGGTTATTGAGGTTGAGATGAGGTGCATACCATATTGTCTTTTCTAATTACTTTACAGAGAGCAGTGAAAGTCATGGCCCTGGCATTCCTGGCCACCACCGCCTTGCTCCAACTCTTGGGCATTTGTTCCTTGGAGTGAGATAATTGAGACCTTTATGTAGTTTTGAGAAACACTTGTCATGAAATACTGTAAAAATGTGTCGAGAAATATACTTATTGAAGTATTTATTTTGTTTTTTGTCAAGAAAAACTGAAAATTTAGTTTATTTTACAAATACGAAGTTTCCTATTAAAAAAAAAAAAAAGAAGACTCATCCTAGAGCAAACATGAAAGAATTCAACCCAAGCAGCTACCTCTCACATGTTCCTCTGTGCACTAACCAACTTCTTTGTGGGAGTAAAGCTAATTTACTCTTTAATAAATATTATTAGTGAGTCTGGTATAACACATGTGCCTATGTGCTTAGCCAAATCTATGTTTTGCTAAAGATGTTTCTTTTTTATCTCTCTTTCTTAAAATTTTATTTTAGGTTCAGGGGTACATGGGCAGATTTGTTCCATGGGTAAATTGCATTACCTGTGGGTTTGGTGCACCGATTATTTCATCACCCTGGAGATAAGCATAGTACCCAATAGGTAGTTTTCCAATCCTCACTCTCCTCCCACCCTCCACCCTCAAGTAGGCCCTGGTGTTTATTGTACCCTTTTTTGGGTCCACATATATTCAATGTTTAGCTCCCACTTATAAGTGACAGCATGTGGTATCTGGCTTTCTGTTCCTGTGTTAGTTCACTTAGGATAATGGCCATGGGTTTCATCCATGTTGCTGAAAAAGACATCATCTTGTTCTTGTTTACAGCTGCATCATATTCCATGGTGTACATGTATCACATTTTCCTTATTTAGTCCACTGTAGATAGGCATCTAGGTTGATTCCGTGTTTTCGCCATTGTGAATATAGTGCTGTGATAAACATGCGTGCGTGTGGTTCTTTACGGTAGAATAATTTATACGCCTCTGGATATCTACCCAACAATGGATTGGTGCATCAAATCATAGTTCTGTTTTAAGTTCTTTGAGAAATCACCAAACTACTTTCCATATTGTCTGAACTAATTTACATTCCCAACAGCAGTGTATAAGCATTCCAGGTTCTCTGCATTCTCACCAGCATTTGTTACTTTTTGACTTTTTTATAATAGCTACTCTGATTAGTATGATATGCTATCTCATTGTAGTTTTGAATTTCACTTTTTAATGATTAATAATGTTGAGCATTTTTTGTATTCTTGTTGTGAGTACACATATCTTCTTTTGTAAAGTGTCTGTTCTTATAATTTGCCCACTTTTTAATGGGATTGTTTATTTTTTTTGGTTTGGTCAGTTAAGTTCCTTACAGATTCTGGATATTAGACCTTTGCTGGATGCATAGTTTGCAAATATTTTCTGCAATTCTGTAGGTTGTTTACTCTGTTGCTGGTTTCTTTCACTGTGCAGAAGCTCTTTAGTTTAACTGTCAATTTTTGTTTTTGTTGCAATTGGTTTTGACATCTTTGTCATGAAATCTTTCCCAGGGCCTATGTCCAGAATGGTACTTCCTAGGTCATCTTCTAGTGTTTTTATAATTTTAAGTTTTACCTTTACATCTTTAATTCATCTTGAGTTGATTGTTGTATACGGTGAAAAAAAAGGGATCCAGTTTCAATCTTTTGCATATGGCTAGCCAGTTATCCTAGCACCATTTATTGAATAGGTTGTCTTTTCCCCTTTGTTCGTTTTTGTCAGTTTTGTTGAAGATCAGATGGTTGTAGATACGTGGTTTTAGTTCTGGCTCTCTATTTTGTTTCACTGGTCTATGTGTCTGTTTTTGTATCAAGATCATGCTGTTTTGGTTACAAGTCTACTTGTAATCAAAGTAGTAACCTTGTAGTTTGAAATACGATAATGTGATACCTCTGGCTTTGTTCTTTTTGCTTAGGATTGTTTTGGCTATTCAGGCACTTTTTTGGTTCCATGTGAATTTTAGAACAGTTTTTTTCTAATTTTGTGAAAAATGTCATTGGTAGTTTGACAGGAGTAGCACTCAATCTGTAAATTGAGTTTTGGGCAGTATGGCCATTTTAGGAGTATTGATTTTCCTATTCATGAGCATAGAATGGTTTTTCATTTGTCTGTGTCAACTATGATTTCTTTCAGCTGTGTTTTGTAAGTCTTGTTGTAGAAATCTTTTAACTTCCTGGTTAGCTGTATTCCTAGGTATTTTATTTTTGTGTGTGTGGCTATTGTGAATGGAACAGAGTTCTTGATTTGGCTCTCGGCTTGGATGTTGTTGATATATAAGAATACTATTGGTTTTGTACATTGGTTTTGTATCCTGAAAGTGTACTGAAGTTGATTATCCGATCTAGCAGCTTTGGGGCAAAGAATATGGGGTTTCTAGGTGGAGAATCATATCTGTAAACAGATAATTTGACTTCTTCTCTTCCTATTTGGATGCCTTTTATTAATTTATGTTGCTTGATTGCTCTGGCTAGATCTCCCCATACTAAGCTGAATAGGTGTGGTGACAGTGGGCACCCTTGTCTTGTTCTGGTTCTCAAGAGGAATGCTTCTAGCTTTTTCCTATTCAGTATGATGTTGGCTGTGGGTTTGTCATAGATTGGTCCTTTTTTTTTTTTTCTGAAGTATGTTTCTTCAATGTCTGGTTTGTTGAGAGTTATTAACATGAAGGGATGTTGAATTTTATTGAAAGCCTTTTCTGTTATCTATTGAGATGATCATGTGGTTTTTGTTTTTAGATCTGTTTACGGGATGAATCACATTTATTGATTTGCATATGTTGAACCAACCTTGCATCCCAGGTATAAATCCTACTTTATCATGACAGGTTAGCATTTTGATGTGCTGCTGAATTTGTGTTGCTAGTATTTCATTGAGGATTTTTGCATAGATGATCATCAAGGATATTGGTCTAAATTTTTTTGTGTTGTTGTTGTGTCTCTGCCATGTTTTGTTATCAGGATGATACTGGCCTCATAGGAAGAGTTAGGGAGGAGTCCCTCTTCCTCAGTTTTTCGGGAAAGTTTCAGTAGAAATGACACCATCTCTTCTTCATACATCTGGTAGAATTTTAGTGTGAATCTATCTGGTCCTGGGCTTTCTTGGTTGGTACTGACACCGATTCAATATTAGAACTCCTTATTGGTCTGTTCAGGGATTCAATTTTTTCCTGTTTTAATCTTTGAAGGTTGTATTTTCCATTAGTTTATCCATTTCTTGTAGGTTTTCTATTTTGCGTGCATAGAGGTATTTATAATAGTCTCAGATTTTTTGTATTTCTGTGAGGTTGGTGGTAATGTTCCCTTTGTCATTTCTGACTGTTTACTTGAATCTTCTCTTTTTCTTTGTTTAGCTGGTGGTCTTAGTTATTCTTTCAAAAACCAATTTCTGGTTTTGTCAATCTTTTGTATGATTTTTCACATCTCATTTTTATTCAGTTCTGTGCAGATTTTAGTTATTTCTTGTCTTCTGCTAGCTTTGGGGTAGGTTTGCTCTAGTAGGTTGTTAATATGAAATTTCTAACTTTTTAGTGTAGGTATTTAGACTTTTTTCTTAACACTACTTTACTTGTATCCCAGAGATTCTGGTATGTTGTATCTTTGTTTGCATTAGTTTTAAGAATTTCTTAACTCTGCATTAATTTCCTTGTTTACCCAAAAGTCATCCAGAAGCAAGTTAATTCCCATGTAGTCAATTTTAGAGTATGTGCAATGTGCAGATGAGAAAAATGTATGGCCTTTTGTTTTGGGGTGGAGAGTTATGCAGATGTCTGTTAGGTCTATTTGACCAAATGTCAAGTTGTTCCTCTGTCTACTCGCGATATCTTTCCTCTGAAGATTTGCTCTGAGTGTGCCAGTCTTTCTGATGGCCTGGTCTATTGGTCTGAAGTATTTATAAAACTTGCTCTAAAATGATTTTTTCCTGGTAGCAATAATACCTTCTTTAAATCAGTTATTTAAAAAATCTCTTTTAAGCAAGAAATCTTGGTTGACAACAGATTTAAAAATGAAGTTTGCTAGAGGGTATGTCAAATTTTAAGGACAGCGAGTGGTATTTAATTATCTAGAATAGCTAGCAGCCAATTAACAGCAGAAGGTGCTGCATGTTTCTGGATTTTGAAGAGGCTGAATCCCATTTCAAAAAAGAAAATGATTCACTTCTTAAATCATGCGCATTCTTATTTCTAACAAAGACACATCATTTATCTTAGCACTTCTTTGCCTCCACTACTGGTTTGTTTTCTTAGGCCTGCTCCTTAAATGTGTGTCACTCATTCTTGCTATTTTCTCTTCTCATTCTATGAACAATTTCCAAGTCAAGATATCAAGCCTTTTCCTAAGAGAAATCAGGGCTGACTTCCTCACATACGCGATGCTGAGCTGCAGGCATGCATAATGCATGGTATAATTCCATCATTTCTAGTAAGATGAATATAGCTTCAGCATTTCACACTCACTGTGCCCATACCAGTGGTATTTCACCATAACACCCTTCCCAGACACTTCTTTGAGTTCTTTTTTGACTAACAACACCACAAAGCATCCAGTTGTCCTCATTTGATATCCCAAATCATCACTGACTTCACTCTATGTATGCAGTTATTTCTGCTCTTTCTGCATTCTAAACACCTCTTGAATCCATGCCTTGCCACTGTACCCACTACTATTCCCTTTGTTTACAACACTCTCATCTCATGTGCACTGTTATAATCACCTCCCAACAGATATTTTTGCTTATAGAACTGACTTCTCACTTACAGTCTAGCTGCAGAATTACCAATCACTTGATCTTTCTAAAGAAAAACTTGAGTGCCTCATGTCCAATGCTTCAAAACCTTCACTAGCTCATTGTTGTGTAAAAGACTAAGTTCATATGCCTTCTCTAGACTTGTGAGGACCACATGGTTCCAACACTGGTGTGACTTCATTGTAAGTGAAATCCTATCAGGAAACTTCATCTCACTTTGCACCTCTGCTTTGTTTTTTTCTTGGTGTCATGAGTATTTGCACCTATCACACTTGTAACGTTTTCATGCATGTCATTTCCCCCTGCATGTAAACTTTACAGAACAGGAAATGTCTTAATTGTCTTTGCATTTTCAGAATCTAGCAGAATCTTGCCAATAGTAACCACTCATTTTTTAAATGAATGAATATATGCAATTATCTTCTGTTCCTCTCATGCTTTCTTATTTGAAAAGAAATAAAAATTTAAATATTAGAGGCAGAATAAAAATATACTGATATATATTTTAATTACATATTAATTAAATGTATTTTATTTTATATATATTTATATTTTAATTCCCAGGAAAGAGATTGAAAAAAGAGGAGAAATCATTCTTTCATCTGTGAAATCAGTACTATGCCTTATGTATTTTATACCGGTTATTGTATTACTAATTATAGTTTGGTCAGAACACTGTTATTATGCCTCCTATAATGTTGTTTATAAATATACGTTGTTTCTTAATTTGTAATTAAATCTAAAATGATCCAAAATTACCACACATCCTCAGTTTTATGCTTTTACTAGAATATACAAGTGTGTATATATATATATATATATATATAATGTGTATGTGTATATATATATGTATATTATATATATATACCCTGGGAATATATATTATATATTATATATATATATATAAATGATATTTAAACAGGTATTATGAAATAACATGTGGCCATTTAAAAATGAGATAGAACACAAAGGTTTGAAAATGCTATTATTAAATGTCAAAAGCCTTGGGCAAACATTGTGTATAAGATGATCCTGTTTATGGTAAATAAATTATTTACCACATGTTATTTCATCATACCTGTTTAAATATCCTTTATAATTACTCACTTTCTAATTCAACAGAATAACAAAAGGGGTCCCAAAAGTGATTTATTTAGTAATCCTCTACCAACGAATTCATCACTTGTTTCCAATTTTTTTGTCACTATGAAAAAATATTGTAATAAGCATTATGGTATACAAACCTTTGTAAATCTATGTAAATATATCTTTGTGGTCAATATCTTGTAGTGGGAAGGGTAAATAAAAGGGGCATACCCTTCAATATGTTATACATGTTGACAAATTGCATTCTAAATTTGCACACATTTACACTTCCCAATGAGAGTGTCTGTCCCCTTATCTTCACTTTCACTAGCAATGTCTAAGGGCATAGTTTCTGAGAGACTAAGTAAACAAAGAAGATAACATTTGAACTCAGACCTGTTTGTTTTCCAAAACTGTACTATTTCTAAAACACAATACAGTCTCTGTGTGGTTAAAGAAAGTCTAGATGATGCTTATATTTTATAGACATTCCTAGCATATTGAATGCTATCAAATATATGTTCTCATTTCATGTCTAACACCAATAAAAAGCAGATTCAAGGTGGCTAACTGACTTGCCTAAGGACGTGTAACTACCCATTCTCCTGCACTCTGCTACTTTCTTGTTCAGAGCTTATTCTGTAACAATCCACATGATCTTAGGCACACAACCTTTTTACCCCAAATTTCTGATTACTAAAATGAAAAAAAAAGTAAAGTGATCCAACTAGATGATATCTATGATAACTTGAAGTTTCACATTTTTTAAAAAATTGTATCCCCTTAGAGCAGGGATTAAAAAGTGGAATTCTATCTACTTCTTATATACTACCAGAAAAAAACATTATTTTTGTGGGTGTGTTTGTGTGTGTGTAAGGACAAGGGGAGGGTGTGATGAAGAGCGAATGCTCTTATAAGTGTTTTAAAAGAATTATAACTTTCCAGGTGTTACATTTGGTTGCAGTATATGAAGTTATAACCAACCGACACTTTGCTAGTATCATGAATTTCTGTTAACTGCATTCCAGTTGCAAGATTTTGAGTCTGAATATTCAACCACAAGTTTTAACAAGTTCTATTATGAACCCAAAAGTTTCCTTCAATGATGTAGAAGTAAACAAGATTCCCCATAAAACCACATGTTGATTAGGCAGAAAACATCAAAAATATGAATAACCAAAGATGAGCTAGAGTTATCAATTTGTACCCAGGGTATTTCTATTTCTTGAAAGTTTACTCTCTATCTCTAGCTTGACTGATCTAAAATTAGATATGTTTATATATTTTTTCAAGTTCTTTCATGTCCAAAAAAAGAAATTAAGGCCACAATTTTACTAGACCGTATTCTCAACTGAATCATTAGATCATGAGGTGGTCTTCAGTAGGTCACTTGAATACTTGTGTGTAAACTGAGGATAATGAACACTGTAAATATCACACATGTATTGTACTCTCTTATTTGGACAAAAATGACCAAATAAGAGAATTAGTACTAAATACACTACTCTTGCTATTCATTACTGTCTGCCGAGCCATTTACCCTTATAGAATTTAGGTTATAATCAAGAACAAAAATAACCTGGATTTGGAATAGTGCAAATTATCTTCTTAAATCCAAAGCAAATAAATTCTATGTTTATTAATTCTTGTTTTGGATTTGAAAGCAAATGAGAGCACATATTCAACAGCAAGAGTCTAATATCCTTCTCGATGTTCATTCTTATTTTCACTAAATAACTCAACGAATATTTATGAAATGCCTAGACTTTGTGGTACTCTGCTGGGTGCTGTGATATCTTTAGCCAATGTATTTTTTAAATTATAGTCTAATGTTTATATTTCTTCTTTGCCTTCTTATTTTGTTTTCCTTCCTTCAGTGGTTTTCTGGAAGACGGTGTCTTTCTACTCTACTAATTCTTGTCCAGGCCTTCATCATGTTATCCACAGTGTAAATCATCTCCTCTTTCACTAAAGCAAGAGGTAATTTTAATAAATATGCATTTGAGCAGCACTGGGAATAATGGCAGATAGGAGACAGGACTAAAGTGCAACTCCTGCATGGAGAGACAGAATAGCGTGTAGAGACCCACACTGTGAACTTTTGCTCCAAGAACCACCACAGGAACATACCACAAAAACAACATAAATTCACAGACCCTTTGAAAAAAGCACCTTACTGCTGCAAACTGTGACACAGCCAAAAAACTGAGTTTCCAAAGTGTGAGGTGGGGAAAAGGCTGCTTCTGAACATACATCCCTATTGTGGAACCTCAAAATACAGATCACAGGAGAAGGATTCAGCCTTACCTAGAGTTGAAATGTGTTTAGGGAGCTGAGCAAAATATAAAAGCCAAAGAAGCAGTAGAAAGAGCCCTGTAGGTAATCCTCATTCCCAGTGAAAGCCCAGGGAAGACATTTCTGGCCTTAATTCACAAGGGTCATTGGGAAGGGAAGGCAGTCAGTGGAAGTGGGGAGAGACCACAGGGTGAAGGAAGTTTCTAGATAAACTTTGTAATAATTTCGACTGAGCACAAATTTTCCCAAGCAGAATCCTGGAGTGTGAACAGGAAGTGAAGCTTTGAGTGCAGAACACATAGGGGAAGGTGCAGGCAGGTGGGAAGGGGTGAGGTCTGAGAGCCCTGCTTGCTTTCTCAGCATGGAGGCTTGTAGCCTGGGCAAGATTTCAGTGCTGCTCCACATTTGCCTGGACATAAACTCGGTGCTGTTGGGAGTAAGACTAGCCTTGCAGGCTGTGTGGGAGCTGGGTGAAGCCTGTCACTGCTGGCTTTCTCCACTTCTCTGGTGACCTGTATGACACAGGAGAGGTAGCCATAATCCCCCTGGGAACATAAGTCCATTGGCCTGAGAATGACCCCTCATCCCACACAATGACCGCAGCAAGCCCTGCCCAAAGAGTGAGCTCAGACATTCCTAATCCTGCTCCCACCTGATGGTTTTTCTCTACCCAACCTGATAGCCAAAGACAAAAGTCATAAACTCTTGGGAGCTTTATGGCTCTGCCCATCACCTGAGAAACCTGAGTACTTATCCTGGTCAACATAGGGCAAGATTATATCCTCCTTCTCTTATTGCAGCTGGTGCTTTCTTGAAAGTGTCACCTTCTGGCTGGAATCCAACCAACTCAAGTCATTACAGCAACTCATAACAGAACAACTCTGCTCCAAAGGAGAAAACAACAGCTACTTCCACTACCTGCAATACCCTGGCTAACCAGAGATCCTGAGTCTGTCCCCATGACAACTTCACTGCTAGCATAACCAGCATTTGAAAAAAACAGCACACTAAATAAAACTACAACAAAAGACTCCCACAGAGTCCCTGTCACTCCCCTGCCAGCTTCACCAGAGCAGGTGCTGGTATCCATGGCTGGAAGAACTGAAGACAGATGACAACACAGGACTTTTTGCACACACTCCCCAGCACTATCCTGGGTCCTAGTAGCCCATCTGGGTGGCTAGACCCAGAGGAGCAATAATAATCACTGCAATCTGGCTCTCAGGAAGCCCCATCCTTAGGGAGGGAGGAGAGCACCACACCAAGAGATCACCCTATGGGACAAAAGAATCTGAACAGAAGCCCTTGTGTTCCAGATCTTCCCACTGAAATAGTCTACCCAAATTAGAAGGAACTAGAAAAGTAATTCCGGTACTATAACAAAAGGCTCTATAATACCCCTGATAGATCACACTAAGGCTCTATAATACCCCCAATAGATCACACTAACTCTCCAGCAATGGAGCCACACCAAGAATAAACATCTGAGTAACCAAATAAAGAATTCAGACCATTGATTATTAAGCTACTCATAAAGGCACAAGAAAAAGTTAAAAACTGACTTAAAGAAATTTAAAAACAATATAGAATATGGATGAAAAAGTCTCCAGAGAAATAGATGTCATAAAGAAAAAACAGTCACAACTTCTGGAAATGAAAGACACATTTAGAAAAATGCAAAATACACTGGAAAGTTTCAGCAATAGAATCAAAAAGATAGAAGAAAGAAATTCAGAGCTCAAAGGCAAGGCTTTTGAATTAACACAATTTGACAAAGACAAAGAAAAAAGAACTAAAACATGAACAAAGCCTTCAAGAAATTTGGGATTATGTTAAACAACCAAACATAAGAATAATTGGTATTCCTGAGAAATAGAAAAGTTTGGAAAACTTATTTGAGGCAATAATCAAGGAAACCTTAACATCTAGACATTCAAATACAAGAAGCTCAAAAAACACACAGGAAATTCATCACAAAAAAGGTCATCATCTAAGCCCACAAAATAAAATAAAACATAGTCATCAGGTTACTTAAAGTCAAGATGAAGGAAACAATCTTAAGAGCTGTGAGGAAAAAGCATCAGGTAATCTATAAAGAAAAACCTATCATATTAACAGCAGATTTTTCAGCAGAAACCATGAAAGCCAGACAGGATTAGAGTCCTATCTTTAACCTCCTTAAACAAAATAATTATTAATCAAGAATTTTGCACCTAGTGAAACTAAGCTTCATAAATGAAGGAGAGAGAAAGTCTTTTCCAAATGAAGGCTGAGA